>NC_000006.12:163252608-163404123 GCF_000001405.40 Homo sapiens | reverse complement strand
TTGCTTCACCGCGAATCACATACCCCATTGTAATACTAATCTTGAACAAAATTTCTATTTGCATCATATGTTTTCTTGCTCACCAAGAGGGCGACACATTACCAATAGATACCTGGGGACGTGCTTCAGTCTGAACTATAATTGAATCCCTGACATTATAAGGAACTTGGTAAGAATTTTCCTCTTGAAATCTATTTTTACAAAAGTGACTTATTGTGTACCTTGTGTGCAGTGATAATGCACTAAGTAAAGGTAATGCCAGAGACCACAGCAAAAACTTAGATGATCTGTTTTCACACCAGATTTCTCCGAAGCAAGATCACCATCACAGCACTGAGCTGCCGTTCACTTAGTAAGCCACACAAATCTGAATTCAGCACAAAGCCTTCCCTCTTCGTGCTTCCCCCGCCTCAAGCCTCAAGTTCAGCAGCTCCTGCCTCAGCCCTCTCCCATTCTCTCTGTCCTCATCGTGGTCTGTGGGTCCTTTCCCATCCTCCCCACAGCCTCTCCATGCAGAGTTTCTGAGGGGCCCTGAGTTACGCTAAACTTGAAACCTGCTGGTGTGATGTGATAGAATTTCTTATGTATAATATAACATATGCATATGAGTGCAACATGAACACCCCATAACCTTGTTCTTGATGTCTACTGTCGAACTTCCTGGATGTAAGACTTTCCTAGCATCTTAATACAGCTTTTTAAAAAATTGCCAACTTACCGGCTGGGCGTGATGGTTCACACCTGTAATCCCAGCCCTTTGGGAGGCCAAGGCAGGTGGATCACTTGAGGTCAGGAGTTCGAGACCAGCCTGGCCAACATGGCAAAACCCATCTCTACTACAAATACAAAAATTAGCTGGGCGTGGGTGGCGGGTGCCTGTAATCACAGCTGCTCAGGAAGCTAAGACAGGAGAATCGTTTGAACCAAGTAGGTGGTGGCTGCAGTGAGCCGAGATCACGCCACTGCACTCTAGCCTGAGCAACAGAGCGAGGCCTCATCTCAAAAAAAAAAATATTGCTAACATACAATTTCTCATTGTTATTTACCCTTCATTTGACATTGTATTCCATAGTCTCAACTTTATCTTTACAGCATTCATTCAAGAAAGGAAATAGGGATTACATGAGGAAAAAGAGAGCAAAGGAAAAAATTTCGATAAAGGAAATTGTCCTCCCTTCCCCCCCACCAAAAAAAAATTCTCCTTTGCTGGAAAGTGAACCTAAAAGCAGTTTTGCTTTTCAAAAGTTTTCTAAACACACACACATACGCATACACACACACACACGCATACACACACACACGCACACACGCACACAGTATTTCATGGCCTGTGCACCAGTTCTTGCCCTGCCGGCTCAAGGTCTAGCTTGTTTTTCCACCCCATAGTGTCAGGCAGGTCCAGCCCTCCTTTATGTCCTAGAGTTCGTGTTGGTGCCAGGCAGCTTCAGATTCTGTGCCCCATTTGAAATCATTTGCAAGATCTGAATTGTTAAAGAAAATACCCTGGTTCTGAGTAATGCTAACCACTGGAAAATATTAGAAAACATTTCAAAATAAGAGGGTCCTTGGATCTGTTATTTATTTCTTATTGGAATTGAATTAAATTACTGGTCGACATCACAAAACTAAAAATCTTTGTCATTCACCATATATTTTTCCCCTTTAAGAATCAACAGGAAGCCCCAGAGCTGGGGAGAAACCTTCCTACTAAGTGAACTTCACCGTTTGCTCTACCTGGGCCTGACCTGCACGGTAACCAGAAGCTTCCTGGGCCCAGCAGTTTCAACCAACTATTTCAGGAACCCGTGCTCACCCTTGGCAATAACAAGCCTCAGGTGATTTCAGCTGTCAAGTGTCTCTGATCCCCAGATTCTTACAAGGGAGCTTTGCAAAGCTTGTAGTCTCTCCTTCCTAATTTAATTTAAACTGCACTTGTGATAAAGAGGTAAGTGCGCGGCTTCTCCCTAATGCTACCACGAATTTCTATATGACACAGATCCTCCTTGGGGCTAAGAGTGAAGTGCTGGGAGTCTAAAAAGAACTGTGTCCATCCCCTGTGTCCTATGGCGTCTCCAGGGAGCTGCCATCCACCCAGCCCCCTCCCACCTGTCTCTTTTCTCCTCGGCCAGCCCCCAGCATGGAGGTGCCTACTGCACCCAGTGTCTCTGCCAGCCTCTTCCAGGGCCCACTGCAGAGCCAGGCACAGCTTCCCCAATCTCTCCTCATCCCTGCTGCCTCCAAAACAAACACAAATTAGAAAAAGGACATAGGAGTTTTGGTTATAGAAAGGTCAAAGAGTTTTAAAAATTACCGACATTGGGAAAATTACAAGGTTGCTAAAGAATCTGAAAAAACTACCAGCAGTGGTTCCCAGAGCTTGACCTCATTTATGTTTCAATGGAGACCTGGGTCAACTGCTTTGAATATTTCCGAAGCATTCTTATTCATCTTTTGTGTAGCTAGAGGTTGGTCTGCGCACGTTTGCTGTTACCGAGCTGTGCCTAGCTCTTGGGTCCAGGCCCAATCCCTGACCCTTTAACAAAGAAGACACTTCTCCTTCTCCCCTACAAAGGCCTCTCCCTTGGGCTTTAGGCTACTTGTTTTGACCTTCAGTTTGCCACCAGGGTCCATCATGGAGACCTCTTGGTTGAGGTCTTAGGGCTCTGCCCTCCTACCCCTCCCCCACAAAGATGTCCCCTCCGGGCCATTGTTCCCTTGCACTTGTCTTCCGTGTTCCTCCCTGATAGCTCTGTGCCTCTAGCGTACAGCACGATGTGGGTCTCTGTTGTTGAATTTAAATTGGCCCAGTGAGGCAATACAGCACAATGGGGAAAAGCTGTGTCTCGACTGGGTGCCATCGGGCAGGCAGCTTGAGCTCAGCCGTCCTCAGTCTTCTCAGCTGCAAAATGGGGATGCTAATTGTGAAAGGGAAATTAAAAATCGGGACCACAATTCACTCTGCCAAAAGAAAAATTAAGCTGAAAGCTGAGTCATGCAAGATGCGGCCTTTCCTTTTGTTCCTAAGCAGAGAGCTACAGATAAAAGCTTCAACATCTCCACAGGTAGCTTCTCAGTGTTCACCTTATGTTACATAAATTGCCAATTTACTGAGCACGATTTACTGAGTAGAGAGGAATACGTAACGACGATTCCCCTACCTGCTCCTTTTCTCTTTTCCCCTTTAAATATTGAAGCCCTCAAAATCAAGATTGGAGAAAGGCACACACCACAGATTGTTTCTGTGATTCCATGTTTATTTCTTCTGGGCATGTCCTTAACCTTGGGAAAATAAACTTCTAAATTGATTGAGACCTGTCTCCAAAACTTTTTGGTTTACATAATAATGCCCATTTTATCATGCTACCATGAGGATGACATTGGGCAATGATAACCCCCGACCTATGCCTGGAATACAGTGATTGCTCAATAAAAACTGGTTCTTATTATAATTCTTATTAATGTCTTTTTTAAAAAATCAATCTGCTCACTGATTTTTATTCTTTCTTAAAAAAATAGACTACCTTTAGACTGCCTCCTTTCATCATGCACAATGTGAGGCATTGGGGGTACAACGGGAAGTAATTGTCTCTGCCTTCCAGGAATTCTGCAGAGTGGTAAAGAGGGCAAGTACCAAAAATTACAGAGCAATGAGCTAGGTCTTGCAATGGGACTATCCTTGGTCTCCTGTGGGAATGTTGGATGAGAAGCAACTAACTCCACCTGAGGACTAGAACAGGGAGAGGCTGTGGAGAGAAGACTCCTAGAGGAGCTGACAAGAGTCAGACTGGACAAGACCAGAAGGGAATTGCCACAGGGGGAAGGAGGAAAGAAGGTCTTGCCCGGGGAAACCGTGGGTGCAGTCAGCGGGGATGGCTGGTCGTGCCCTCCATGGCCCTGGGCTGGTACAACAGTTGTTCTAATTTAATCTGTGGATCTAGTCTCCTTAGTAGTCATGCAGACTCAGTAGAGAACAACATTATGGAGCCTGCTTCTGTGAACATCCGTCTTTCAGCTTCAAAGCTCTACCTCCAGAACAGCCTTCCTTCGCGGCACAGTGCTTCACCTGAGGAACATATTAATAATATGACTCGCACTGTTTGAGCGCTTTCCATGTGCCCGGCACAATCTGGGCCTTTCAAACATCATCTCACGCAGTCCTCTCAAAAGTAATCCTGTGTGGTCATCTCGTTCTGTGTCAAATCCCGGCTCCAAACAGTTTCTACGTTGGCCCTTGGGCAAGTAACCTCACTGTGCCTCTGTTTCTTCATCTTCCAAAGGGGATGCCCAGCCCACCTCACAGGTTGATAAGGGGGCGATGGGAGTTAATATATGCAGAGCCCTTAGAACAGTCACCAACACGTGGTAAGAACTCAGTAACTGCTATTCGTGTGCCACTGCACATGCCTCTAGAGTTTTTTGTTTGTTTGTTTGTTTGAAATGGAGTCTCCCTCTGTCACCTAGGCTGGAGTGCAGTGGCACGGTCTCGGCTCACTGCGACCTCTGCCTCCCGGGTTCAACCAATCCTTCTGCCTCAGTCTCCAGAGTAGCTAGGATTACAGGTGCCCACCACCACGCCCACCTAATTTTTGTATTTTTAGTAAAGACGATGTTTCACCATATTTGTCAAGCTGGTCCCGAACTCCTGACCTCAGGTGATCCGCCTGCCTCAGCCTCCCAGTGTTGAGATTACAGGCGTGAGCCACCACGCCTGGCCAAGTGCCTCTAGATTTTTGACCCATTTGCAGAGTAGTGGGAAGAGGCAAAGATTGATAGCAGTTCAAAATTGGTTTTCTCTTGCTCTTGGGCACATAACTATTTCCATTTCCCACCTCCCATATGGCCATGTGTCTGAGTGCCAGCCAGTGGAATAGGAGCTGTACTCCTTCCAGCCTGGCCTACAAATCCGGCCCCTGCCTTCACCATCAGCTGTCTCATTCAGGCTAGAGGGAAAGGAGATGTGTTGAAGATGTGAGTCCCAAAATGAGAGCATGGAGAAGGTCATCCTTCAGGCCCGTCCACTGCACGGTTCCGTTGCGTAAATAAGAAACAAGCCTTCACACACTTGGCGAGCAGCCTAGCCAGCTTTTACTAACACGTGTGTGTCCAGAGCTCAGGGAAGGGCCAGCCTTGCAGTGCCTTGTGGGAGATACAGCTGTGGTCTGCTCAGCAGGTTCTACTTCCTCCTCCTCCTCCCCGTAAGAAACTCCCTCTCTTATGTGAGAATCTACAACATGATTTGCTGTGGCTTAATTTCTGCACCACCAAGTTGGCAGGCAGTGCACACACAGCCGAGGCTCCGAGCCATTGGCCACATGATCAGTTCTGGGGCAGCCTCTTGACCCATAATCAGTTATTGTGGCCTAATCAATTATTGCTGAAGCATTCAGGAGAAGGGGATCTCTCCTTTTGGGTGAGATTGCTGGCTTTAGAGGATGCAGATATCCTATGGATTCTTTCAAAGAAAGAAGCCAGCACAGGGGAAGCAGAGCCAATGTGGAAGAACAGTTCCTTAGGGCGTCGTTTCAACTCCAGCATCCATTAATGTTTGATTCACCTTCCTCAGTTACCTGGGTAATAAGCCTCCTTTGTGTTTAAGCTGATTAAAGCCAGTTTTCCCAGTACTTCCCAACTTACCAGCTTTGCCCATTACCTCCAGTTCCCTGGGCCTCAGCCCCACTCCCTCTAACACCTGCCTTGAGAGCTGTCTCGATAATCTCATCTTCACATTACATAAAATATTAAAATTCCTTAAATAATCAGTGACTGTAACAGGCATGGCTTCCACTGAGGGGAGAAGAGTATTAGTCACTCACACGTGGTCTCCATGGATAATACTCCTTCTTAGGAAAGGAGTCTTGCTATATACACTAGAACAAACAAGGTCCCATTAGCACAAACTCAGTAGAACTGCCCCTTTGTTTTATTGTGCTGAACTTTTGTCCTATTAAAGATTTTTAAAAGTAAATGGTGAATTTGGGGAGTTTGGAAATCTGCAAATTTCCTTCACAATGTGTTTCCTTGTACTAGAATTTAATTAATGATATTTTTATCTGTTTTTCATTTAAAGCAACATAGTTGCAACCCCAGAGATTTACAAAATCAGAAACATAAATTAATTTTTACCATTAGTTATACAGACTATCCTCCCAGCCTTCGCTTTAGTCTTTTGATTAAATACAGGCTATCCCCAAATATTTGATGGGCTAGTTCTGTAAAGTGTATATTCCACTTGTGTCTCAAACACTAGAATACCAGGCTTGTATTTTTTAATTTTGTTTTGGATTTTATTTTGAAATTCTTACTTGTATAAACCAATCCCTTATCAAAATAGAAAATTTTCAAAAGTTGCTTAACTTTGTCACTCTCCTCGTCTTTCATGCTGGTGAAAACCAGCCTGGCCATTTGACATTGAGGTTTTCTTTCTCCATATTCATCTCCAGGCTCTGAGTTCATTATTCCAGTGAAACCACGCTAAGGAAAAAAGACTTTCCTACCCTCCTCTCATCTGTTGAACTTTGGCTTCCTTCACTCTCCCTTGCTCTGCACACCCCAGCTCCTCCGAAATCAAATGTCAGGAGACTAACTCCGTGAAGAGTCTCTAAGAACAGAGTCCTAATCAATCTTGTTCATGTTGTGGGGAGGGGAGGGCTGGGAGTTCCTGTTTAAAGTATTCAGGATTTCTGCTGGGGATAATGACAAAGTTCTGGAAATCGTTGGTGATGGTTACACAACATTGTATATGTAGTTAATGCCAATGAATTGTACACTTTAAAATGGTCATATGGTAATTTTTAAGTATATTTTATCACAATGAATTTCTGTCTTGTATATTTGTATAAATTACTAAATAATAGTTGCATCATTCCTATGGATAGCAGCAGCTAAGAAGCCTGAAGAAGTCAGTCAAATAGAACGGGTAAAGAAATTTTGTTTCTTAAAAAAGTGCCCGACAGAACAAAGCACACGCACCCTTTGCCAACTGTCTTTGGGAAAAGGCTCTGTTCGCTCATGCGCAGAAGGAAGCCAGGCCGCGAGGATGTCGACCGGGGCAAGATGAATGACCCCCTGGAGACCGCAGGGTTTGTGTTCGAGTTTCCACCACCTTTTCATCCTTTTGTCCACCCCCCTGATTCACATGCAGATTAGCCCAGACCAACTCCCCTCTAAATACTCTTTTCACGCCGGTTGGAAGGTAGAAGTCTCATCTAAATATGCATGAGGCTTTTTCTCCCGGGTTTCTGATGCGCTCTTGTTGGATGTTGAGGAATTACGTTAATTAATGCGTGCCTGCACACACCGACACAGAAACCAGGCACGCACATGCACACACACACGCACCTGCACACACACACACACACACACACACACACACACACACACACAATCAGCTTTGTCAGATCCTCCTTCGGCACTCACCAAGCAGTTCCCATGAAAAGGAAGGAAGGAGAGAGGGGGAGGAGGAGAGATTTGAAATCTGTTGCCAGGGGAGAAATAAATGGTACAGCTTGATACAAAAGAAAGTACAAAGTTTCATCTTTGCTTTCTGGAGTTGCAAATCTAACTGTTGTTTCCAGTCAGTCCCAATGTAAAATAAGACAAGGCCATTGCAAACGCAGAACTGCCTGGCCTGGCTCTTCCCAGTGGTGAAGAAAAAGTTAAGGACAGAGTTTAAATGTTGGAAATAAGTTGTAAATTTGAAAATAAAGAACTCATCAATAGTTTGTTTAAGCAGGGCTTTAGGCAAATTCCTTCACCACAGATCATGTGAGTCTGGATCCCAGAAGGAGTTGTTAGGGTTTGTATTATACCGCCGTTTTCGCTGTCTTTTTCCCTCTGTCTCTTCTGTGGCTTTTAGATGCTGTTTTCATTAGGCTAGCTAAATTCCACTTTAAGATGAATTCACCCTAAATGTGTTTGCATGAAATTATATCGAGTTATGGCTTACAGTGTAAATCATCTTTAATTATAGGTAATCTTTATGATATTTTAACAGATAGGATAATATATTAGCACACTGGAACTGAGGTGCAGACACCTCAGTTAATGGCCTTAATATCACACTGCCAGCAACAGTCATCTTTCCAACCTTTAATCATCTCCCTCGCCTGCCCCTTCCTTTCTGTTCTCAGTGAACACAGAATGCCCAAGCAGCCCATCAGACCCTGGTCCGGAAGGGCCCAGGGCTCTGTCACTAACTTTCAAATTTGTGTATCATGACAGTAGGTTGAAAAGTGTATTTTTTCTGTGTGTGTGTTTTTTTAATATAACCCATCAACGGATACTGGTTTTCATTTCTAGATCTTAATATACTAAAATATGAAGATTTTGTTATTTTCAAAAATTCCTTCTTGATTCAAGCAATGAATAATTAGCGTAGCTCTCTTCATCCATCCTCACAGGGTACAAAAAGATTGGGAAATCCTGCTTCAGGCCCACACTGCTTCTCTAGCTGAAGGGAGGCAAAGCAGAAATAAATCTCCAACTTCCCTGAAGCATACGGAAGGCTTCCCTATGCATTTTGTGACAAACTGAAAATTAGTTGTTGATAATATTTCTTTCACATGAAAGTACAGAACGTACTCTATTCTCCATCCCAGACCCCACTCCAAACAAAATCTGTTATTTGAAGTCCACATAAATAACCGACTCTGGTCTATTTATGTAACTATTGTTGTAATCAGCATTACACATTCTTAGCTTACAACCAAGGTGTCTTTATGTTTCATCAATAAAAACTAAGATGGAATGTTCACACAGAAAGTGTTTTCTTTCATCTGCTACACTGACAGGGAATTGTCATACTCAGCGTTATTTCCTAGTCATTTATTACTGACTTGTCTGAATGAATAGGTACCTGGCTCTATCTAAGTTTAAAGAAAACTGTATCTACATTTTTTAAAGAAAAAGTTAGTGAAAGAGTTCAAAAAATTGTTCCAGATTCCTCCTGGGGGAGGTAATGCATTGCTTGGAAGGTATTTCAGAAGGGCATTTTGTAGAAAACTCTGGGAATCAGTGGGGGTATTCAGTAAATATTTTTGTGTGAATGTTGGATGGCTTTGATCAAGTAAATTAAATGCACACACACACTCTTAGTCATCATTTTATGCATAAATAAATATCTATACATAAACAGAACTATTACCTCTACTGATGGTGGATTACTGAGCTCAACTGTGTCCCACACTTCAAGTGGCTCCTGGCTCTGGGGTAGGCATTGCTGCCTTGTGTGAAGGGACCACCCCACATCCATCAACAGGTCTAGACAGAGACTGGCTTCCTCCCAGCTGACACTCAACAGAAAACGGTGGAGTTGGCCTTTTAACCGTGCACAGTGGATGGTCCTGATCTGCGTGGAGTAAGCTGAGGGTCTCCAAGAAGGCTTTCTTGGCTAAAAATATGTTCCGAGCCAGTGGACTTTAATTCTTTTAACAAAAATATTAGTCATGGAAATTTTAAGAATTAAAATTAAAGTTTAATTTTGCTGAGTTAATTAAAGTTATTAACCTTTAATATATAGATAGTATATATGTGAGTATATATATACATATATATCTTCTGGGTGGATGGCATTATCAAGTGCTAACCTCTGACTAAAATTAGAGGTTGGAATAACCTGAGCAGGAAAGAAAAAAGAAGGCTGTTTTTTGTTTTTCATTTTTGTTTGTTTGTTTGTTTTTGAGACAGAGTCTTGCTCTGTTGTCCAGACTGGAGTGCAGTGGCACAATCATGGTTTACTGCAGCCATTGCCTCCCAGGCTTAAGTGATCCTCCTGCCTCAGTCTCCCGAGTAGCTGGGACTACAGGCGCACATCACCAAACCTGGCTAATTTTTGTATTTTTGTAGAGTTGCAGTTTTGTCATGTTGCCCAGGCTGGTCTGAAACTCCTGAGCTCAAGCGACCTGCCTGTCTCTGCCTCCCAAAGTGCTGGAATTACAGGCGTGAGCCACCACGCCCATCCCAGCTCTGTTTTAAAACACAGAATCCACAAAGGAAGGAAAAGGTCAGGCCCTTGCAACAGTGTTCTGTGGAGGCACATACTAGAATGTACTGGAATAGGGTTCCCTGAAAGCCAAGATACAGGGGTTTTTTTAGGGAATGGGGAGGTGTAAGGTAGCACACAAGAGAAATGACCAGCAGGGCAGAGGGAGCTGGGGACAAACTTTGTTCAGTGTCGAAGTTTATCCATGAAAATGAAACTAACACAAAACTATTTTTTTACCTATAAAATGGAAAAGTATGTTTTAATTATATTATCCATGGTTAACAAGGAGAGGAAACAGACATTCTCATATACTGATGATAATACTATAAATTGATAGGAGATTTCTGCAAGGCAGTTTGGTAATAGTTATCAAAAGATTTAGGTTGTGTTGGGGGGCTATAATTTCACTTCTGGGAATTTATTTTATGTAAATAATCATGAAAGGGTAAAGTTATAGTAATATTTTTATTTTAAATAGAAAAACATAGAATTTTTATCTTATTAGTGTGGTTTCATTTTATTTTGCTTAGCCGTAATTTCTATAATGAGTTGATTATGTGATAAGACATCAGCAATAATATTTGTTAAGAAAAAAAGTGTGCCCATGGTCAGTGGGCTCCTTTGCTGTTTGTTGATTGAAAATTTCCCTTCCAGGGCCTTCATGGAAACTGCTCTGGTGTCACAGAAATATATCCAAGGATGGAGGTAAATCCCATGTGCAAATACTGTCAAAACAGTGCCTCTCCTGACACCAAAACAAAAACGTGAGAATTTCAGTGAAATAGTCATGCATTGAGTAAAGTACAAAAAATCTGAAAGTTTTAATAAACTCAAATATATCTTTCAGAAACCAGTATACAAATGATTTCTCATTTACCTTTTTAAATACAACTAAATACACACAAAATCTAAGCAACATTTAGCATTTTCACTCTAAAACTTGGAGACCTCATCTTTTATCTAACCTCTCTTTTTTCCAGTACAGCGTCATTACCATGGAGTTTCATGTAAGTAGAAAAGCTTTGCAGAACCTCTTTTCTCAAACAAGAACCTATCCGAATCTGTATTAAAATGGCAAGGAATAAATGAAAATATCTATATGAAGTCTTAACTCAGAATTGAAATATTAAAAGTGACCGTTTTGCGTTGTCTCTTTCTCACAAAGCTTTATCTCATGGCATGATTTTTACTCCTCAGACATTTTCAAATATTTGATCCCTGAAGCTTTCACCCAACTCACTGCAAAGTTTAAAAATACTGCCTATTCCAAAGTGATTACACATGGTTCTCAAACATGATAGGAACTGGCAGACCAGCCCCCAGCTGTTTCCATGGAGACACTGGGAGTGGCAGTTATGCATTGTGAGATTTCTCCAGCCTGAAACTGTTACTGCCCTAGACTGAGACATACATGTTTCACAGCTAAGCCTGAATCCAAAATGAAATTAAAAGTTTACTGGCTAAATGCCAAATTCAAAACTACCCTGACCTGTCTTCCTCTGTTCTCTGACAGTGTGTACGTGTACAAGCTCGTCTGAAAAGAGTTGGCTTGTAAATGGGAGAAGCTGTCCAAGAAGTATTCTCACAATGAAATAATCATTTTATTTTGTCCATACCGACAAACAACCAGTCAATTCAGCTGGAGGAAAAAACAAACAAACAAACAAACATTTTATTTTCCAAATTTGTAATGAGTTCGCTTAATTATTTTTGGTTTATTGTGTTATCTACATAGTTGAATCTTAAATCTGAATTTTCATAACCTAAGGAAGGAGTCCCACTGAGTGATGTTTTATGTTACAATCATTTTACTGTAATCAATATTTAAGCGTATGGTAAAGGCAGCTAATATTGTGTCATAAACACTTCAAGTGAGTCACAGAACTCATTTCACCTGGAGGCTATGGAAGAGCCCTGGGCTTCCGCATTCCCTCCCTGACTCCTACTATGTCCACCTTTAATAGTTTTGTATGTGTCACTCCCTAAAACAACAACAACAAAAATGCAACTTGAAAACCACAGATCCATTCTAGCCTTTTACTCAGTTCACCCCTGTACAGCATTGCACAAAGACATGGAAACCAGCACAGATGACATTTGGAGACTACCAACCTTGGCTACTTGCCTTCAAGGAGCATTTATGTCATTTAAAAAGTTGCTGTACTTTAGCTTAGTGGCAGCCTTCTTTCCACCATTTTAGTATCTGCCATCGATTTTTCCATAAAAAACTGAGTGCCAGATCTTGGCTTTTCTTGACTGTTTAAGCTCGATATCAGGAAGAAAATGAGGAGTAAGACTTACATAACCTTACATTTTAAGGATAATTCATCTATAAAATCATTCAGCTTCCCTGAACTATGTGAATGGAATTTGTTTGCATGAATGTAATTCCACCAAAGGCTTCTAAACTGTGAACTAATCACATGATGTAATTCTGGAGGTTTCCCAAAATTAATCTTTGCATTAATTATCTTTTGCTCTCTTTTTATGTGTCATCTTGCCTTTTCACATTCCATTAGGTATCAAAACCAAGAGAGACAAAGTACAAGCTATTTATATTTTATCAAGTCTCAAGATAATGGAAAATATTTTATACCAATTAGAACTGCAGAAAAGCCAGGTGGTTCCTACACCCATATTTTGGCAGGATGCAAAAGAGCAAATAATTATGGGCGATACCTTAAAACACTTATTAAACAAAATCTTAAGAAGGATAGTGATTTCACTAAATTTTATTTTATTTTATTTTTTTGAGACAGAGTCTCGCTCTGTCGCCCAGGCTGGAGTGCAGTGGCACAGTCTCGGCTCACTGCAACCTCCGTCTCCTGGGTTCAAGCGATTCTTTTGCATCATCCTCCTGAGTAGCTGGGACTACAGGCGCCCGCCACCACCCCTGGCTAATTTTTGTATTTTTGGTAGAGACGGGGTTTCCCCATTTTGTCCATGCTGGTCTCAAACTCCTGAGCTCGTGATCCACCTGCCTCAGCCTCCCAAAGTGCTGGAATTACAGGCATGAGCCACTGCGCCTGGCCTTTATTTTTATTCTTTATTGAAATGAACCTGTGTGTGCACATGTGTCTGTGTGTTTGTGTGTATGTACAGATGTATAATGAGGTATGGTTAGAATGAACATTGCTTCAAGTCCTATTTCTTCACAGGCTGATTGACAGTGGGGAAGTCACCTCACTTCTCTAAACCTTACTTTTCTCATCTAAAATTACAGCTAACAATGCTTGTTCCATCTGTTTCCATTTTGTCATGAAAATCAAAGGAGGTAGTGGATGTGAAATTTTACTGATTACATATATAGGATCCAAATAACATGCAGTGGTGAATAACATAATTATACCAGTAACTCAATGTAGGATTTGGGGTGACCTGTTTGTCTTTAATGAGCCTATATTTCTTCACATATGAAAATGGTATTGAAGTGGATAGAAGTGATATTGCAGCATAACCTTGAGGACAGATAGATTTCTTACAACTGTTTTCTTTTCTTTTTTCTTTTCTTTTTTTGAGACGGAGTTTCGCTATTGTTGCCCAGGCTGTCGTGCAATGGTGCGATCTCGGCTCACAGCAACCTCCACCTCCCAGATTCAAGTGCTTCTCCTGCCTCAGCCTCCTGAGTAGCTGGGATTACAGGCATGTGCCACCACACTCAGCTAATTTTGTATTTTTAGTAGAGACAGGGTTTCTCCATGTTGGTCAGGCTGGTCTTGAACTCCCGACCTCAGGTGATCTGCCCATCTCAGCCTCCCAAAGTGCTGAGATTACAGGGGTGAGCCACCGAGCCCAGCCTTTTGTTTTCTTAAGTAACCAAAATTCAACTTGAAATAGTTTTTTTTTTTTTTGTCTCTTTTGTTTGTTTGTTTGTTTGTTTTTGCTCTGTCAGCCAGGCTGGAGTACAGTGGCATGATCTTGGCTCACTGCAACCTCTGCCTCCAGGGTTCAAGTGATTCTCCTGCCTCAGCCTCCCAAGTAGCTGGGATTACAGGCACCCACCACCATGCTGGGCTAATTTTTGTATTTTTAATAGAGATGGGGGTTTCGCCATGTTAGCCAGGATAGTCTCAAACTCCAGACCTCAGATGTTTTCCCCCTTCGGCCTCCCACAGTGTCAACTTGAAATAGCTTAAGCAAAGAAAGAAAAGGTTTTTACTGAAAGTCTCAAATAACCATGGAAAGGGCAAGGAAGCAACTGAGCTTTAGAAACCACTGGAACCAGGGGCTGGAGTGCTAACAAGACTTTCTCCTTTCTCTTCTCCCTGCATGTTATTTCACTTTCTCAGACAAACCTCCTGCATATGGCTGAATGCTAAGCCACCAGCTACTCCTGCCCTCACATCTCACAACTTTGCTGCAAGAAAAAACAAAACAGAACATCTTGGCTAAAACTGCCCACCTCCTTACCCCAAGCTTGATGCCAGCTGAAGAGTCCCAGGAGACCAGTTGGCTTAGCCCGGGTCAGAGGCCCTGGATGGGAGTGGATGATTGGTAGCCATCATTTGCACCTGATGGTTAGAGTGTGAGAGAAGCAGTCTTCCTGAAGAAGAGAGGTGGTGTCCTCAGAAAAGAGGAAGGGTACAAGGTTGTGAAAGCAATAAATGCTCACGCAAAAGAGGGTTGACCCAAGGTCTGGCCTTCTTCTTGCCACTCTCTAGTGAGGGAGCCCTTAGGAAATTGATTATGCTCTCTGTCAAGCGGCAAAAATAAAACCTGCCCCTGCCTTACGTGGTGATGTGAGGAACAGATTACAGAATAGATTTAAAGTGGCCTTTCAAAGTTTAAAGTGCGATACCAATGAAAGGTAAACTAAGTTATTCTGGTTCTCTCCCTGCATTTGGTCAGTTCCTGTAACGCAAACCATTCTAGGTAGGTTATAATCTCATGAAAGTTCGGAAGCAAGGATTAAGGCCACTCTCTAGCTCTGTTTGGTTGAGAAACAGCACTATTTCAGAGATTTTTTAAATAGATAAAATTGTATTCATCACCTGTTAAATCATGCATGAGATTTACTTGGGGTGATCCCTGAAATTTTTTCAATTAGAAAAATGTAAATTACAAAATACATTATTTATAATGCACACACGGTTGACTATGTTTTAGAATATTACCTAAAGAAACCACAGAAGAATAACAACACAAATACAGATTCTTTGATACTATACTAGTATACATGTTCTGCTTCTTCCTTTCAGGTCTATTTGCAGAGTCTTCCATTCTTGAGCAATTTTCTCTGGGGTGACTCTCCGCTACTATGAAACCTGTGTCTGTTTGACAATACCTGTGCCCATTGTGCAGAGTTCTTTGTGGCCCTATCATGGGGGACTTCCATTCTGTACTTGGTTACTTCAGTGTGTCAGCTAGATCCAGCTGCTCTGCGCTGGTTCATGTGGGTACCACCTACATGCAATGCGTCTCCATTTATCTTACTGTCCATCCAGGTCCATTGTACCCTTCAAGACTGGTTGAAGCCCACTGCTGTAGGACATCAGTTCCTCTGGCCCTGTTCCTTTGTGAAGCCTTTTTGTGTTTTGTGTGACTGTGTGATCTGACTGCATTCACAGGCACTTCTCACACATAGCTTTGTGCATCTTCTCAAATTGCTACATGTGTATGTTTGTCCCTCCAAAGGATTAAAACCTGAGTGAGTGCCAGCTTTCTCTGCAGGAGGAGTGGGTAGTGACCTTTGGTGCTTCCAGAAGAAAAGCATGCAGGACATCATGGTAAAAGTGGGATGCGCAGCAGAGACACCCTTGCAACTTCATCCCGCTGCTCACTTCCCACCTGGGTCCCTGACCTCACTGGAAATTGGGGTCCAGGGACTGGAATCCATTTGCTCTGGCCTTTGTCTCTCTGGGCTGGGTGTGGGGCCGTGAAAGGATGAGCGCCTCCTGCCCATGGTTGCAATGGGAGATCCAGAGGATACATGCTGAAAATAATATCCTGGGGTGAGGGCCAAGGTCATGGCCAGTGAGTGAGTCCAAACCATCTCATAAATTAATGCAACTCTTGGAAAACTGGGAGCTGAGTTAATGGAGCCGAAATGAGTGGTGTGGAGCCACAGGGAGAGCCACGAGTGTCCAGAGGGAGCCAGTGCCACCGGCCACGCGGCCCAAGACCTTCCAGGGCCTTCCCTTCATGGTCTTGCAGGCAGCTGGGCCTGCTGGGGCCGGAAGGGAGCTGGGCCCCTCAGACACAGCCGAGGAAAACTTGACTGCTGGTGTGCCAGATCCGTCCACAGGTCCCCAGGGATTCCCCAAGTGAATTCTGTCCTCTAAAGCTCGTCACAAACAGGTAGGAAATTCTACTCTTTAATTATCCTAATCCCAAACAAGTCATGATACTCACATAGCCAATTTCAGGTTTAATCGTGTTACCTTTATCCAAGTAGAAATCAATTCCCATTTTTGTATAGCTCTGCAGAACATCCAGAGTGCTTCAGCGCAGAGCAAGGCCCCAGCAGTTATGAGTGCTATCATCATATGGGAAAAAGAAGTTCATCACTCTGTGTGTGTGTGGAGCGGGAAGGGATGGGAGGCAAGTTTATGACAGTTTCCATACTTTATCTAACTATCCATACACTTCCTCCTCTTCCCTCCTCTTCCTGTTGGGACATGTTTGTACATGCCACATGCCATGAGATTCCAAAGGAAATATGAGCCCTTTATGATTGTCTAAATCAGAGTCCAATTGCAGGGCTGGGCCTTGTGTTACAAATTCAATCACAGTTTAGAAATTAATCATACACTTGGCTGGGCGTGGTGGCTCTCGCCTGTAATCCCAGCACTTTGGAAGGCTGAGGCGGGCAGATCACAAGGTCAGGAATTCGAGACCAGCCTAGCCAATGTGGTGAAACACTGTCTCTACGAAAAATACAAAAATTAGCCAGGCGTGGTGGCACATGCCTGTAATCCCAGGTACTCTGGAGGCTGAGGCAAAAGAATCGCTTGAACCCAGGAGACAGAGGTTGCAGTAAGCCAAGACCGTGCCACTGCACTCCAGCCTGAGCAACAGAGCGAGACTCCATCTAAAAAAAAGAAAAGAAAAAAGATTAACGGTACACTTAAAAAAAAATGTAACATTTCAAACCCAAGTATGACTCCACTCACTTCTACAAAGCTGTTGGTCTATAACTGCATGTCTGACTCCTACAAAGGCAGAACTGTATTGCTGCCTGCTACTCACGCACTAGATTGTTCAATTCTTAAAAAAAAATTTCTGACAGAGAAATTGAATATGTATATGGCTATCTGAAGTCTGCACACATTAGTAATTTCAATCGATTGGTGATTGAGGGACTTTCTCTATTATTCGGCTTTGAAGTGCCACAGTTCAGGGGGAAATGTCCTTCCCGCTGTTCACTTTTCTCCTCCCTCCCTTCCTCTGCCAGAGAAGGACGAGGGTGAGGAGAGGGAACCTTATGCCTCCCAGGCCTGAGCTCTGTAATTGGATGGAGACTTGGGAGATGTCAGGGGATGAAGAAGATCCAGGCAGCCTATGACTAATCCAGACTCGGCTGTAATTTTCATTCTCTGTGCTTTCTAATGGGAATATAAAGAAAGTTTTGGACTCTGAAGGAGAAGAAAGCAAGAAAAAGTCGTTTTTTAAGGGGAAAGAAAAGCTTTCTTTATTCACAACCTCATTTTCCGTTGAGTAAAATTTATCACTTTTGGAAAACCTTTTATTTTCTGGTAGGAAAGTTCAAACCCAGTTGAGGATTTTATTCCCTCCCTTGTACCCGAGTGTGATTTCTCTTAACATCAGTTCCCTTTCTATCAAAATTTGAGCATGTCAAAAATTTCACTAAAAATGGGTGAAGCACAAGATTCTTTTCTATCCAATGACCAGAAAAAAAAAGGAGACCCTTTGCCTCATCTTCTTTTAGATGACACCAAACACTCTCCAGATGGAATAACAGAAAGGAGAAAACAATACCTTTCCAGGATGTGGCTTTAGGGAGAAAAGAGGTAACAGACCAAAACGGGGGAGGTGAATGGCTGGTGGGCCATGGGGCTGCCGCAGGTAGCAGGGATTCACTCAGTAATCCCAAGTGCTTTCCCAGGAATTGCCTTCTATGGTATTTTGATGTTTTGTTTTTTTGAGACAGCGTCTCAGAGTATTTTTTTTTTTTTTTTTTTTGAGATGGAGTTTCGCTTTTGTCACCTGGGCTGGAGTGCAGTGGCGCGATCTCGGCTCACAGCAACCTCCGCCTCCCGGGTTCAAGCCATTCTCCTGCCTCAGCCTCCGGAGTATCTGGGATAACAGGCATGCGCCACCACGCCCGGCTAATTTTGTATTTTTAGTAGAGACAGGATTTATCCATGTTGGTCAAGCTGGTCTCGACCTCCGGACCTCAGATGATCCACCGCCTCGGCCTCCCAAAGTGCTGGGATTACAGGGGTGAGCCACCGCGCCCGGCCGAGACAGAGTCTTGCTCAGCTGCCCAGGCTGGAGTGCAGTGGCACAGTCACAGCTCACTACGGCCTCTGCCTCCTAGGTTCAAGTGATCCTCCTACCTCAGCCTCCCAAGTAGCTGGGACCACAGGGGCACACCACTATGCCTGGTGAATTTTTTTGATTTTTTGTAGAGATGGGGTTTCACCATGTTACCTAGGCTGGTCTCTAACTCCTGAGCTCAAGCGATCTGCCCACCTCTGCCTCCCAAAGTGCTGGGATTACAGATGGAGCTGCCGTACCTGGCCCTCTTCTGTGTTATTTTAAATAAACACCTACTTTGGCATCCAGAGATGAGGAAGCTTTATTTGCCTTATAGGTGACCAAGAGTTTATTGTAACTTTCCTTTGGGAGGCAGAGCAGCTGCCAAGCAGCTAGAGAGTGAAGAAAACTTGTTGAAATGCTAAGCTTTTGTGTAGGGTGATTGGAGACCCGGGTTCTAGTCCTTGTGCCGCTAAATAGCTGTGTGACTTTAGGCAAATCACTCCCTCTCCCTGAGTTTCACTTTCTTTATAAGAGGTGAATTCAACTATTTTTTCCCTATTTCTTCAAGCTCCAAGACTCTGTAATTATAGCAATCAACACCAGCAAGAATGTTAAAATTATTATGTGAGCAGTTAATTCTGAAATGTGAATTACGGAATGAATTCTTATGGCACCTTGAGCATGACTAGTAGCATTTTACCAGATCACCTCTAGGAACATCCTGAGATGGAGACTTAATAGCAAATCAATAAATTCCAGACAGCAGGGGACATCTCCCAGTATATGAACAAACTAGCAATTGGTGAACTGATTCTTATCTTAATAAGGTGAGCCTAGCTTTTTGAACACCTACTGTGCCAGGCATTGTGTTATGCCCTTTACATCAATTTCCTCATTAAGTTTTTGCAACAGTCCTGTGAAGTTGCTAGTGTACCCATTTTACAGATGAGGAAACTAAGACTCAGAGTGAGTAGGTAAATTTACCCATATCATTCAGATCAGACTCAAAGACAAGTGGCTCTGACTCCGTGCTAATATCCTTGAGCAATATACTCGACTTCCTCATTCATTAGAAAAGCCACAAAGACCTGAAATATTAATAGCAACACATCCTTAAGGGTAAGAATTTTGTTTTGATTACAAATCCTCTCTTGTGCTTAAATCAGGACTTACACATAGTTGGTTCTCATTCAAAGTCTGTTCAACGGAAAATAACCCCCCCGCTTGCCGACATGGCCCATGTCTTCTTGGGGCTTCCAGTCTTTAAATCAGTGCTACCAGCAGAATGTTCTGTGTTGAGAGAAAATTCGTTTTCTGCACTGTGCCACTGGTACCCACCAGTGGCTACTGAGTACCTGAAATGTGTTTAGGATGCCTGAGGAACTACATTTTAAATTTCATTTAATTTTAATGACTGTTCACGTAAATAGCCACACGTGACTTGTGGTTACCATAACTGAACGGTGTGGGCCTAGGGTCAAATAGGTGTAGAATGCTGGACATGAAGCAGGCATTTGGATTTACTACTGAAAAAAACAGACTCTTTGAAATTCAATACCTTGCCCAAGGAGTCATGCACTGAAAGGGGTGGACCCATGATTCAGCCCTGAGTTCTGCTGATGTAACCCAAATTCATACCTTCTCCACCTTCTTCATGTACCACATTACAGAAAAAAGGGTCAAGAACCTCCGGCTAAAGAAGCCCTAAAACATAAGCAAATGGAAGTATCAAATGATAGTTTCCACGATTTGAGATGATATCACATGGGGAATTTGATCACCCTTTAGAAGAGGGAATCTACTGCCTTTTGACAAAGGTCCATCAGATAAGAAACTTACCACAGTCCAATAAAATTTGCAGACCAGCACTGGCACTCGGTTCTACTATCATTGGGTGCTAACAATTAGTTCACAGCCTGTATTAGTCCATTTTCACACTGCTAATAAAGACATACCCAAGACTGGGGAATTTATAAAGAAAAAGAAGTTTAATGGACTCACAGTTCCACGTGGCTGGGGAGACCTCACAATAATGGTGGAAGGTGAAAGGCACATCTTACATGGTGGCAGACAAGAGAGAGAATGAGAACCAAGAGAAAGGGGAAACCCCGGATAAAACCATCAGATCTCGTAAGACTCATTCACTACCATGAGAACAGTATGGGGGAAACCTCCCCCATGATTCATTTGTCTCCCAACAGGTCCCTCCCACAACAGGAGGGAATTATGGGAGCTAAAATTCAAGATGAGATTTGGGTGGGGACACAGCCAAACCATATCACATCCCATATGTCTGAGCCATAAAAATAAAATAATAGCAGGAATGGGAATGCAGGGTGGTGATGCCTGCTGCTGTGCCTGAGGATGAGTGAGTGAATGCAGGGGCAGCATGCCACTGCAGATGCTCTAGAACAGTGTTTCCTAGCCTTTCTCCTGGGCAGCTTCCCAAAGTGCCTTTTCAGACATGTTTTTATTTTTGTCTTCATTTTGAGACAGGGTCTCACTCTATGGCCCAGGCTGGACTGCAGTGGCATGATCATGGCTCACTGCAACCTCGACCTCCTAGGCTCAAGAGATCCTCCTGCCTCAGCCTCCCAAAAAGCTGGGAACATAGGCGCTCACCACCAAGCCCAGTTAATTTTTTTTTTTTTTTGGATTGTTTTGTAGACATGAAGTCTCACTATGTTGCCAGGCTGGTCTCAAACTCCTGGGCTCAAGTGATCCTCCCACCTCAGCCTCCCAAAGTGCTGGGATTGCTGGCATGAGTCACTGCACCCAGCCCCCGATGTCTTTTTCTAATCACCTCCTCTCTTGAAGCTTTAATACTATAAGTATATCAGATATCTCTTTGTGTACATCTGTTACCTATACCTGTGCTTTATACATAAAAAGAATGTGACTTTTTTGCTCCCAAAGAACCAATTTTCATCACCTTGAGGGGGAAGGGAGCACCATCTAGGAAGAGGTTGAGGATGTTCTAGAATGGATGGACTTTTCTTGGCAATGAATAGGGACAAAATGGAAAAAGCGGGTGCCCCCATCAGGCAGGCTTCAGTTTGAGTCCTGGCCCTGCATCTTAGGCAAAGGACTTCATCTCTGTAAGTCTGTTTTGCTCATCCACAAAATGGGGATAAAAATATCCCCCTTGGCCAGGCACAGTGGCTCACGCCTGTAATCCCAACGCTTTGAGAGGCTGAGGCAGGTGGATCACCTGAGGTCAGGAGTTTGAGACAGCCTGACCAACATAGAGAAACCCCACCTCTACTAAAAATACAAAATTAGCCGGGCGTGGTGGTACGTGCCTGTAATCCCAGCTCCTCAGGAGGCTGAGTAGAAGAACCACTTGAACCCAGGAGGCGGAGGTTGCAGTGAGCCGAGATCACGCCATTGCACTCCAGCCTGGGCAACAAGAGCAAAACTCCATCTCAACAACAACAACAAAAATACCACCCTCCCGTTGGCTTGTTTTGAGGATGACATGAGGTAATAAATTCATCTAGAAGTCAGTGGTCTCTAATGGCTAGTTAGTTTATTTTTATGAACACAAACATTCTGGTAGTACAGCCAATTTCTAAATCTTTTGTTTCCTGGAGGTTTCCATTGTGAATTCTTTAAGAGGAGGCTTTACAGTGTCTAGGAACAGCTACATCTTTATGGTGCGGGCCCTCAAGAAATTAATGTTCAGAAGATATAGGCTGTCCTCCTCCTCCACCCCCAGTCACATCTTCCAAACACTTACTAAGGCCCTTCAGAGCTGATTAAACTGAAATCAGAGGCAGCATTTGCCTCATATAAAATATGCACAGGAACACTATCTTAATTAGATGTACATGTCTCTGAAGATATAAATAAATGCTTCCTTTTTGATACGTCTGATTTAATAGCCTAATAGCAGGGGAATGCTGCTGAAATATAATTCAGGGGGTGAGGGAGAAATTAATAAACTCAAATATTTAAAGCTCAACAGCAATTAACAACCCATTTAAAGCAAATTTCTGAATTTTAATTTTATTTATCCTTATCCAACCAGGACTAAGCCTGGGGTTCATCATTATTCACTTTCGCACCTAACAGGGTGCTCTGCCCTTTGGCTGGGAGGCCCTCTCCAAATCCATTAGGCAGGAGCAGCGGAGCGTGGTGCCCAAGGCGTGGAGGGAAATGCGGGAGTCCCACCTGAGTTGCCACAGGCACAGTGCTTTCCATTTCCCTGTTGACTATTTTTGCTTCTCTCACTTCATTGGGAACTTGGGCTTTTATTTTTGTGCTGCGTGTTTAACTGCACACTTATGCTCATGCACAAAGCCAGGATTGTTTTTTTCTTTAGAGTTCCCAGGAATCAAAGAACATCCATGTCAGTGACCTCTGGTCAGCTAAGGCGGAGCCCTGGGCCCTGAGCCCCTCTGTGCTCATATCGAGGGGGTATGAACAGGAGACTCCAGGCATGTGTACCTAGAGATCAGCTTAGAATGAGAACCCTCATTCTTTTTAATAAAAATATTTCTTAGCATTTATTTATTTTAATTATAATATGGCAGTAAAAATCACTTTACACAAAGACATTACATGTATATTAACAAATCAATCTTCATTTATGTATTTTTTTTTTTTTTTAGACAGTCTTGTTCTGTTACCCAGGCTGGAGTGCAGCAGTGCTATCTCAGCTCACTGCAACCTCTGCCTCCCAAGTTCAAGTGATTCTCCTGCCTTAGCCTCCTGCATAGCTGGGATTATAGGCGCCCGCCACCACCCCCTGCTAATTTTTGGGTTTTGTTTGTTTGTTTGTTGTTTTGAGATGGAATTTCGCTCTTGTTGCCCAGGCTGGAGTACAATGGTGCCTGGGTTCACTGCAACCTCCGCCTCCTGGGTTCAAGTGATTCTCCTGCCTCAGCCTCCCGAGTAGCTGGGATTATAGGCATGCACCACCATGCCTGGCTACTTTTGTATTTTTAGTAGAGACAGGGTTTCACCATGTTGGTCAGGCTGGTCTCAAACTCCTGACCTCAGGTGATCTGCCCGTCTTGGCCTCCCAAAGTGCTGGGATTACAGGCATCAGCCACCACACCTGGCTGTATTTTTTTTTAGTAGAGATGGGGGTTTCACCATGTTGGCCAGGCTGGTCTCAAACTCCTGACCTCAAGAGATCCACCCGCCTTGGCCTCCCAAAGTATTGGGATCATAGGCGTGAGCCACACCGCACCCAGCCCAATCATGTATTTTGCCTTTCCATTTCTCCTGGCAGCTTTGTAGGAATCCGTGACTTCAGTTTTTCTAGCTCAGTTTTGCTTAGCTTGTCATACACATCTGGAAAACTGTATAACTTCCACTCGTTCCAGAGATTTTAACATTGAGTCTGTCCCTTCAGTCCAAGACTGAAAAACTAACTCATGCCCCTGGGATGGGGAGGAGCATGGTGGTTTAGCACGTTGGTATTTTCCTTGTTTGTACCTGTGTCTAACGAGACAAAGAGCAGGGCACTGGTGGGGGCACAGGGGGCAGGGCTGGTTAGCACACATGCTTTGGTGGGGACTCTCGACTAACAGATGCTCAGCCTGATCTCGGGGTGCAGGGAGGATGCAGGGTTGGAGGAAGTTAATGAAGCCAAAAGTAGTTTCTTCAACAATTTCTTATGCATGTGCCTAGCAGGGAACAACTTAAAGGGACTGGAAGGTGAGGAGCAACACTGTGTGGTCGGAGACGGACGCTTCCAGGTTGGCCTCTGTGTGCAGAGGTTCAAGGCAAGGAGGTCCTTGATGAGGCCCCATATTCAAGGGTTGCAGCTTCTAGAAACATCGCCATCACCATCCTGTCCTTCTGCACAACTTTGTTATGTCTAACACTTCCACAGATCCCCTTTCTGAGAGCCACCCTGCTTCCCCACTAATGGGCCCCAGGAGCCATGTTTATACCACACGTCTCTGCCCATTTTGCCTCATCTCGGTCCTCTCCCAGTGGGAATGTCTCCACCGATTTGGAAATGGAATTTCCAGGTGCTGATTCCCTCCTGCTTACTTGAGCTGAGGGGAAATCGGGGTGTGGTGGGGTGGCCATCGTTACCTGTTGGACAGAGGTTAGGGAAGCTGGGCCACAGAGAGGGAACAGCGCTCTGAGGGGAGCCCAGGGACTGGGCCTGGGGGGCTCCTGACTGTTGGCTCTCCAGCCTTGGAAGACCTGGCGGAGCTTCCGGCCCTCAGCTCCTGTTTATCTCAAGAATAAATTCCCCTTTGTTCTTTGCTGAAACTCACATGGGTCATGATAGTTATACCGAAATAATAATAATAATAATAATAATAATAATAATAATAATAATAATAATACTGAAAGCAAAGTTTAGATGGTCATTGTAACTAAAGAATCTGTGGGCATCACTGGGCAACTCCAGAGCATTGCAGAAAGCAGTAAAATGGAGAGGAGTTTTATGTTCATCAGGAGAAGGTGGCCACGTGGCAGGGTTTGTCCTCTTAGCAGCTGTGAGGAAGGAAGGGGATGGGACCATCCTGTGTTGGTGAGTGAGTGCTGCAGTGGAATGGCCAGGGCCGCCCAGAGCACTGCATGGCAGTGTCGGGGCACCGCATAGAAGCAGAGGGTCGACCAGCAGGCAGGCCTGCCTGGAGTCACAAGCCTCCCCCAATCTTGGAGGGTGCGTTATTTCCTTGAGCTGCCGTAACTAGCACTACAAACTTGGTGGTTTAAAGCAACAGAAATTTATTTATTTATTTATTTTGATACAGAATCTCACCTGTCACCCAGACTGGAGTGCAGCGGTATGATCTCGGCTCACTGTAGCCTCAACTTCCCAGGCTGAAGTCATCCTCCCAGCCTCAGCCTCTCAAGTAGCTGGGACCACAGGCACCTGCCACAATGCCCAGCTAATTAAAAAAATATATCTTTTTTGTAGAGATGGGGTTTCACTGTGTCACCCAGGCTGGTCTGGAAATGCTGAGCTCAAGCAGTCCTCACCTCGGCCTCCTAAAATGTTGGGATTACCCGTGTGAGCCACTGTGTTAGGCCTAGACAACAGAAATCTGGTTTCTCACAGTTCTAGAAGGCAGAAGTCTGAAATCAAGGTGTTGGCAGGGCTGAGCTTCCCTCAGAGGCTCTAACAGAGATTCCGTTCCTGCCTCTTCTCACTTCTGGGGCTGCATGCGTTCCCTGCCTTGCGGCCACCCCACTCCAGGCTGCCTCCTTCTTCACATGGGCCTCTCCTCTTCTGTCTCTCCTTTGTGTGCCTCTGATAAGGACACTGGTCATTGGATTTAAAGCCCACCTAGGTAACCCATCATGATTCCAGCACCCTTAATTTCATTACGTCTGCAAAGGCACTTTTTCCAAATAAGGCCACATTCACAGGCTCCTGAGATGAGGAAATGGAATCTTTTGGGAGTCACCATTCAACAGCCCCCACCCTCCACGGTAAAGAGCAGGAAGGGAATACTCATGGTGGATCACCTGAGGTCAGCAGTTCGAGACCAGCCTGGCCAACATGGTGAAACCCTGTTTGTTCTAAAAATACAAAAAGTTAGCCAGGTGCGGTGGAGGCACCTGTATTCCCAGCTACTCCGGAGGCTGAGGCAGGAGAATTGCTTGAACCCGGGAGGTGGAGCTTGCAGTGAGCCAAGATGGCGCCACTGCACTCCAGCCTGGGCGACAAGAGCGAAAATCCATCTCAAAAACAATAACAACAACAACAAAAAAACAAAACTTTCTCTTGCTGCATAAGGGCCAGCTTATTTCTAGGGGAGGATTTTGTGCCAATCATCTGCGCTGCTCCAGGGAAGGAGGTGCTCAGCTTTCTCAGTGGGAGGTTGGGCCAAATGAATACGTCATTCTAAGGGCCACGTAGATCAGTCATACCGAAGACCTCCCGGTCTCATCCTAACACCCATGCAGGTGGCCCAATGTTTCCTTTCAGGACATGTGGGATGGGCAAGGAGGAGGAGGAGGCTGACCACCACGAGGGCGGGCAGGCCTGATGTGCCGCAAGGCTAGTGTGGGACTTGTGGCCATGTGGGTACTACCAGTGACAGAGACGCATGGTGGCTTCCAGGCTGGAGATGAGGGATTTGGCAGGTGACAGGGTCCAACAGTAAATTCATAGATTATCATAAGGAGAGAGAATCGGAAGGTATACTAACTTTTTCCTATTAGTTAAGCTTCCCTCCCCCTTTTTTCCCCTGAGCAACCTTAAGTGATAAAAGGATATATGAAACTAATGGGGTAGCTCAGAGAATTCACAGCAGAACTGAACAATCCACTTCAGGAACCAACACAGAAGCCAGACCTGGATATGAGGTAGGCTAGATTCTTCTGCTTTCTGTGATGCTGCCGTTACCATGCTGCCACGCCAAGGATGTCCAGGCTCTCTCCCCATTCAAGTGGCAGATTCCTAAGAGAGAGAGTGTGATTGGCTCAGGACCGATCAGCCTGGCATAGACATGGATACTTTGGACATATTTGGAAGCTGGAGATGTCACCCCAACTGGGGTCTAGGACAGCGTTCTCAAGAGTTAGGTGGGCAGGAGGTGGCCCAAGGGCACAGGGCTTCAGCGAAGGCCTGGGATTGGGAACTGGGCTTCAGGCTGCAGGAAGGCTGGGAGGGGCGACACGGGCCAGAGAAGGAGCAGGTCTGGAGGTGAGTAGCACAGAGCCTCGGCTCTCAAACCTCTCTGTCGAGAGACCTCTTTACACCCTTAAAAATTATTGAGGACCCAAAGGTGGTAGCCTATATCTATCAATATTCACCTCATTCGAAATGAAGACAGAGACATTTTAAAGATACAAGAACACACAAGCACACATTCTCTTATTTGTTGGAGTGACGATGTGACCATTCTTCCAGCAGCTGGGGAGACGCCAGGCTACCCCCGAGTGTATTGAATGAAGATGGCAAGTGACATTTTAGTGTGACTTAGCAGGAGTTTTGACCTTGAAGACCCTCTGAAAGGGCCATGCCTAGGCTCCCCAGACCACATCTGGGGAGCCGTTGCCATGGTGGCCCGGAACCTGCGCTTGAGAGCAAGACTGCCTAAGTTTAAAACTTGCTCTACTGTGGCTGCTCCTGCAGGCCTCTTATTTG
Source organism: Homo sapiens (assembly GCF_000001405.40). Lineage (NCBI taxonomy): Eukaryota > Metazoa > Chordata > Mammalia > Primates > Hominidae > Homo > Homo sapiens. Next base: position 163,376,626 of record NC_000006.12, on the reverse strand, counting down.
GTGCCTCCACATCTTCAGCTGAAAATGAGGTAATAATGGTGTGGTCCTCACTGAGCCACTGGGAGGATGAAAGAGACAATCCCTCTTTCTCCTCCTCCTTGTTCCTAGAACAGGGCGTCGCAGGTAGTATGTAGTCAAAACACTTCCAGTATGATGTACACAGCACGCTGCCCGGAGAAGCCCGCAGGCATCAGATCCCAGGTGTGGCAGCTGGACGGGACCTGCCTGGGACTGTCCCCAGGACCCAGAGGTCCCCACTAAGGCTCTGGTTCCATGAGGGGCACTAAAGCTGAGTTGCCCCCACTGGGAGGGGCCTGAGCTGGCAGGCTGTGCTGTGGAGGGGGTCTGTGGGCTTTGTTCTCAGGAGCGGCTGAGGCAACAGTCTGTGGAATGAGATGCAGTCTGGTAGCTCAGCAAAGATGATGATCAGAAAAATATCTTTTTAATGGGAAAAATAACTGGTATTGCTGAGATACATCTTTCTCTGCATCAATCAATAAAAATGTGAAATTAAGCCAATTTATGAATATTTCATATATAACAAATCCAAGTTGTTAATGCTCAAAAATGATCAAAAGTGGCCAGGCGTGGTGGCTCATGCCTGTAATCCCAGCACTTTGAGATGCTGAGGCAGGTGGATCACCTGAGGTCAGGAGTTCAAGACCAGCCTAGTCAACATGGTGAAACCCTGTCTCTACTAAAAATACAAAAATTAGCTAGGCGTGGTGGTGCACACCTGTAGTCCCAGCTACTCGGGAGGTTGAGGCAGGAGAATCGCTTAAACCCAGGAGGCAGAGGTTGCAGTGAGTTGAGATTGTGCCACTGCACTCCAGCCTGGGTGACAGAGTGAAACTCCGTCTCAAAAAAAAAAAAAAGAAAAAAGAAAAAAGAAAAAAAGATCAAAAGTCCATCATTATGCGTTTGACCTGAATCTCTCTCTCTGGCATCAGTTCAGTTGGAGCCCCCAGAACCCGGAGGCAGCTCTGCAACTGGCAGTGCACACATCCCCCTGGGTGCCAGCTCCAGGGCCAGCTCACGGGGACGTGTGGATCCAGCTTCCTTCCACTAAGAGCCAGTCGGGCTCATCCATCCAGGGCTGTTCCGAGGTTGGGGTGTGTAGGACAAACTTGCCAGCAGATCCAATTAAAGGAGCAATGCTAGATGCGCTGATGCACACACAGGGGACATGAAACCATGCACTCGGCCTGTGTGTGCTGCCCTTGAAAACCGCCCTGATGTGATCAGGCGTTGCTTACTTGAAGAATAACCACAGCAACACATGGATGAAAAGAGAAGAACGCTTTTTACAAAACTCTCCTGGGGACAGAATGGTTGTGAGTGCAAGGGACAACTCCGATGCAAAGTGGTTGTCTTCTCAAGCCACCTGGGGCCTCATTGTCCTCCTCCTTGTTCCTCCCGGGACTCCACCCACTCCCACACAAGGCGCTCTGGGTTTCTTTCTTTAATGCCGTAATTTTCTTTTCTTTTCTTTTTTGAGACAAAGTCTCACTCTGTCACCAGTTTGGAGTGCTGTGGCACAATCTGGGCTCACTGCAACCTCCACCTTCCGGGTTCAAGCGATTCTGCTACCTCAGCCTCCCGCAATGCCGTAATTTTCAATGTAGGGCCATCCTTCCTCTTCATCACCCCAGTGCTATGGGCACATATTTACTGAGCAGTGGCAGCTCTTTCACCTAGAGATGCACAGGGAGCAGCCCTGAGTCTAATTTTCCTGCTGCGTCAGCCTTGCCTTTGCTAACCAGAGTGACATTCTGGGTGGACCTTTGGGGCCCGCCCCCCAGTTTTTACCATAGAGCCAGTTCTCAGCCACTGGCTCGCCTCTTACAGTCTTAGAAATTTAGAGCTGAAGGAGCTGTGCAGGTCACCGCTTTCAACTCCTAGTTATAGAGTTGAGGAACTAGGCTGGAAAGAGTGAAGGACTTTGTGACTATTACGTGGACAGCAAGGAAGACGTTTCTGAACCTGTGACACCTGCTGGGAAGGAGGAACACAGGCACACGGCTCCATGACTATTCTCTCTTCCAGTGCCTTCTGCTCAACCCTGGAGCCCTGTGGACGGGGAAAAACGATCTGCTTCTCATAAAGTAAAATGCTTTAGAAGCTCAGAGAAAGAGTCTTACCTAAATAAATAGATGAATAAAGATATTTGTAGAGATACTAATGGTATTTGTACTTTTGTAAAGCAAACTGCCTTTTCTTTTCTGTTCTAGGTTCATTCTTGTTAATCCATATTAAAGAGTTTTCTGAGGGCTAAAACGTTGCCTGATAAGGGATTTGGGAGGTTTGTATCATAAGGGATTCTTGAAGGCCAAAACAGCTCTCAAGACTCAAAGGAATGAACTTGAGGAAGTGGAAATCAAACTCACTGCTGTTCAATTCCACCAGGCCCCCTTCCAGCCCAGAACTGTGCTGTTGGTGTGCAGGGGCCAGCCAGGACTCGGTTGACTCCCCAGCTGACATCATCATGTGACCACCTACCAGAAAGACTTAGAGCCAGGAGCCTCGGGGCTCTTCGCACCCAGGTCTTTAGAGCTCCTGGCATCTCAGCAGTGTTCTTTCTAGTAACGCACCCACTCCTCTGGTCCCACTGCTGCTGGGAACAGCTCAAAGGTAGAGCTGTGACCGTGGATCTCAAAGGCACCCAACCACGAGTCAGTCCTTTGGGGACGTGGGTTTTGTCAGCTCTCCTGAGCTGGCCCACTCTGGTGCCACCTGTGGGAAGAAGGACAGGAACCCACACATCTGCTCAGGCCAGCCCCTTGCTCCAAACCCTTCAGGGCTTTTCTGTGCCTGTTCACGTATCTCATCCTGGGTTCCATGTGAACACTTGTCTTCCTGAAGGATTGATTTTATTTAAAGTTCTAGTGGAAAAAGACTACACCATTATTTTTCATTTTAATTATGGAAAAAAGCAAAATTTCCTTGAATTCCAGGATAATACAGGAACTTTGGCTCTTCATGTTATTGCTACCTGTTAAGGGGGACCGAGTTTAGTTTCCTGTAACAATGGGGCCCCTTTAGGGGAAGTGTAAGGAGAAACAGGACAAAACCTTCACTCCTGATGGCCTCCAGGCCCTCCAAGGTTTGACCTTGCCACATGCACAGCCTCCTCTCCCTGCACTGGAAGACCTCGGGGCCACGCTGAGTCCCGGAGACGCCCTGTGTGCCCTCGGACCTGCCGCTCCTGCACGCCTGGCTCCTGTAAGTCAGGGTGTCTCCGCTTGGGCACTGTTGACCTTGGGGCTGGATGACTCTTCTCACACAGGGGCTGTCCTGTGCATTGTAGCTATGTCCCTGGCTGGCCTTGACTCACTAGAGGCCAGTAGCACTCCCAAGTCAGGACAATCAAAAATGTCTGTAGACAATGCCAAATGTCCCCTGTGGTCAAACCACCCCTGTCTCTAGCCCTGCTCAGATGGGGACAGGCTTCTTGAGGCTCTCTGTCTAGTGATCTGACTCCTCTCTCATGCCTCAGCGCAAACATTACCTCCCCTGTGAGGTTTTCTGTGACTGCCCCAGGCAGATTGGTTGTCCTCACACTGCCAGCTATGGAACTTGATTGGTTTGCACCCATTTGGTGCTTATTCATGGTAATGTAATTTGTTTGTCCATCCCCATTAGTCTATGAATGCCTAGAGGTCAAGGAGTATGCCTGCAATTGTACCTGCTTTCATCCTCAGCACTCAGCACACTGTCTGATCCACTGAAGGAGCTGAGGAAATGCAGAACGAATGGGTGAATGGGTGATCGGCCATTGGAGGCTGGGATTCTCCTGGCGAGGACTCCTCAAAGAAGCATCACAATTGTCCCGTCCTCTCAGATCACCCAAGAGCTCAGCCACTGTCATAATCTCAGCATCACTACACCACGTGATACTCGTTTGAAACTTAACTTTGCTGGCCAGGCGTGGTGGCTCACGCCTGTAATCCCAGCACTTTGGGAGGCTGAGGCGAGTGGATCACCTGAGGTCAGGAGTTCGAGACCAGCCTGGCCAACATGGTGAAACCCCGTCTCTACTAAAAATACAAAAATTAGCAGGGCGTGGTGGCTCACACTTGTAATTCCAGCTACTCGGGAGGCTGAGGCAGGAGAATCGCTTGAACCTAGGAGGCGAAGGTTGCAGTGAGCCAAGATCATGCCACTGCACTCCAGCCTAGGCGACAAGAGTGAAACTCTGCTTGAAAAAAAAAAAGAAAAAGAAAGAAAGAAAGAAAAAAGAAACCTAATTTTGCCAAGGAATTGCCAGGGAAATAACCCAGATTTTTATTAGTGGTGGTACACATGGTAGTAGTGTTAGAGTAATGACAGCTGCGGGGGCCATATGAGCATCGTCGCCATATCCTGCCAGGTGTTTTCACTCTAACTGATAACCCTCACCACTTTTCTGTGAGCTACAGCTTATTACTTCCATTTTACAGGTCAGGAAACTGAGGCTCTGAGAATCTCATTTACAAGCTCAGCATCTTTGTAGCCTTAGGATCAGAATGTAAGGCAATCTTCTCCAAACACAAGTTGTTGCCCTGCCTTCGGTTTCTATGTTTTTATTCTATTTATTTATTTTTGAGACGGAGTCCCACTCTTTCTTCAGGCTGGAGTGCAGTGGCGTTATCTCAGCTCACTGCAACCTCTGACTCCCTGGTTCAAGTGATTCTCCTGTCTCTGCCTCCTGAGTAGCTGGGATTACAGGCACGAGCCACCACACCCAGCTAATTTTTGTATTTTTAGTAGAGATGGGATTTCGCCATGTTAGCCAGGATGGTCTCGATCTCCTGAACTTGTGATCCACCTGCCTTGGCCTCCCGAAGTGCTGGGATTATGGGCATGAGCCACCGCGCCCAGCCTAAATTTTTATTCTTAAGGGTGATTCTCAACAAGCAGGCATTGAAAATCTGAATGTCCAAAGTGTGCCAGATGAATGGGTTACTGATGCCTTGCTGCAATTTGTGTCACTTCTTATCACTGCAAGGAACATCAAATTCTATCAAAATATGGGAAAAAATCATTTTGGTGTTGCATTTGCATATCCAAGGATTGCAGGATGGTTTGTATAATCAAATTATGTAGAGTTGTAAAAAGGGAGCATCATTTAAATAGCTTACAAGATTACTTTGAAGACGCACATTAAAATCTAAAGAACCCATAGCCTCCAAGATCTTTACAAAAAGTTAAATGCTAATTGATTATGACAGCTTTGTCTTTATCACTGGCACCATTCTCTATTTCCACTCTGTCAATATCACAGCTCAAATATCACTCTGTCCTCTGTTCCTCTTCTAACCACATTCATTCCATGCTGTAATAACAGATGGAAGTTTATGCACGACTAGCTTTCCCCCCCCTCCCCATTGTTGATCAAAAGGAGCAGCCTGAAAATAAGAAAAAAACAGAATTTGCTGAAATTCTGATTTCTTTCAGCAGTTTTATAGATTTTATAACTTATCTTTTATTGACTATGCAAGGTCTCTGCTCCCCAGCATCTGTTTGTTGCATCTGGGGAGAAAGATAAATTCTCTTTTTTTATGCCACTGAACCAAATTTAAGAGACAGACAAACAAACAGGTCTCAGTAGAAGAGGACAGAATCGCATCCACAGCCCAGCTGTCCTCTTTCCCAGGCCCTGTGTGGGCAGGACAGGAGGAGGAGGAGGAAGAGGAGGAGGAGGAAGTGCCTTGTAGTCCATTGAATTTGCCAGCCCATCAGGGATGAGGGTGCCAGAGACTGGCTGATCGGGCTTAGGGAGGTGCTCCCCCCAGAGTGGGGACCTGGGGGCTCGTGGCCATGAGCACAAGCTTTGAAGAGGCTGCTTTGTAAACTTTGTAAAAAATTCACATCATTTACATTTCTCAGACTTAAAGAATTGTGCCTGGTCACCCAGAGACATGATTATACATCACCAAACTTCATTATAATAATGGCCCTGGTACTCCAACTTCTTGAAAGCCTCAGCTGTTCGATTCAGCCTCTTCAGCTCCATAACTGTTTATAAGATTAATAGACTCTGATGCATAATTGACTCTCCCACCAGGAGGAAAAAAAAGAGAGACAGTCTAATCGTAGCCCTGAAAAAATAACATTCCCATAAAGAGATGGTGTCTGTCCACATTGACAGGGTCAGGGATAGAGGAGTGTGGCTAGCACCACCAAGTCAGGAGAGAAGGGGAGACGGATGAGGAGTCAGCCCCAGGGAAGGGAGTCTCAGAACGTCGATGGGACATGTCTCATCATTTAGAGGCTTCAGTGGACACCCTGAAAAATTGGCTTTATTGCAGAACTGGATGGGATTCAATTCTACAGCAGGGAGCAAGGGAGCTAGGAATAGGAAAGAAAGAGGAAAGGAAGGTCCCCGCCACACAGGAAGTGGAAGGAAGAGGAAAGAAAGAGGATAGGAAGGTCCCCGCCACACAGGAAGTGGAAGGAAGAGGAAAGAAAAAGGACAGGAAGGTCCCCGCCATACAGGAAGTGGAAGAGGAAAGAAAGAGGATAGGAAGGTTCCCCACCACACAGCAAGTGGAAGGAAATAGAAAGGGAATCCACAGAGCAGCAGGATGGGGTGAGGGCTTGACATCTGGTGACAGGGAGCTTAGAGAGAGAACGAGTGCCCTGGCCCCCCTTTCCCTTGCTGAGGTTATGGGTCACAGGGTGTCACACCAGGTCCTGTAGGAGACCAGACACATGCTAGGAACGATGGCAGGGCAGACCTTTCTCAAGGCAGAGGAGCAAGGGCATCACCTCGCAGGCTGGAGGCAATGGAGGCCTTGAGAGAGTGCGTGGCGGGGATGCCACTGCCACACAGGGGTAGGGCAGTAGCCAGGGTTCAGAGGCTGGGTGGGCTCCGGAAGTCTTGGAGAGGGGACAGAGCTGGACCGAGGCACTCGGTGGGCCTGATGACTCGAATAAAGGAGTGAGTCTAACCAAAAGGTGGAAACGAGAAGTCGAGTGTTCGATGCTAGCTTGTCTTTCTCTTGATCTCCTATACCTGCCCCTCTTCTCAGGGCTTATTTTACTCTTCCAGAAAAAGACCAGGCATCTTGCAATCTTCCTGGAAAACAAACAAACAAAGAAAACAGAAAAAGCAGAGCAAGATGAGAGAAGATTGACATGGAGACAGGGTCTTATTTTCTACTCTGTATAGTGAGAGATCCTCACCTAAAAGACCTCACCCTGTTGTTAGAGGGAAGAGAAATGTGGGTTAATCTTTCATTGTCATCAGATTTGTGCTTCTTCCTCTTTACTTAAGTAACTGCTTTAGCTGGACCTCCGCAGCATCTGCTGCTGCTTCTCCAGCTCCTGGAAAACCCCAAGGGGGTTGCAAAGATAAGTCTTAACTCTGCCTCTGTTTTCCTTTCAGCTGACCACCAAATGACCCCAGAGTGAAGAAGGCACATCAGGCTCCTATTAATGTGGCCACAGATTCACACATTTGCTTGATGAAAGCCTAGTGCAAAGGAATAGAGTCTTATTGTGGACTTGGAAACCTCCTAGTTATTTAGATGTGAACTCACGCTTTTGCTCATCTCTGGGAAACACAGCACATTTTTTTAAAGTACATCTTGCATCATGGATTGAAAGGCTAAGACCTTACCATTAGATCTAGCATGAAGCCCTCACCCATGCCGTGTAACTCTACATTTACTCCTTCCTTCCATCTTCAGGGGAAAAGAAGCAGGGGCTGATAAAACAAGCAGAGAAGGCCCAGGGTCGGTTTATTGACTTCTAAGGACTATTGGTCTTTTGCAGTGAAGGAAAAAAAAAAAATGCCTTAGGACCTGCTAGGTGCTAATTTGACCTGGCAATGAGGTAAAGTTAGGCTTTGGCTGTCTTCAACCTCCTAGGATCGGAATGCCATCTACTTAGCATAGGAGTCAGACAATTCCCTGGCAATAGATCGCTTTCCACTTGTGCAGCTACTGAATAAATAGCAAAGTAATTAACAGTGTGCTATGGCTAGATGTATCAGGTGGAATTTCATTACAGCAGAAAGAACTGAGAGAATGAAGGAGTCATTTTGTGTCCACCGTCAGGTGAATCGTTTGTGCTTTCTTTCACTAGGATGGACAGGTTATCTCTGCTTTTCTTCAAGAAGAGAAATTTCTGAATTCCCTATCATATCTTCACTTTGATCAAGGGGAAAGGAAGAAAAGAAAACTCTTAAGTGCCTAAAATTGGTCCAAAAATAAAGAATTCTTCTCATTTTTCCATTTAATGATTTTGTTCCTGAAACCTATGGGTGATTCTCTTTTGTTGTATTTTTTGTTTCTTTATTTTTTCTCAACTATTAAATATCTGAATTTTGAAATGTGTTCTGAAGGCCTCATTATTATGATTTCCCCTCCCTTTGAAAAATAAATGGCATTATGTCATCTATAACAACAGGAAGAGATGGAGTTTCACAGGAAGGAAATTTATGCTCAGTTGGAAAAAGAAAAGACGTCTAAGCCATTTATTTTTAGCCACCTTTAAAAATATATATTTGAAAGTACTAAACTCAATTTTACATGTCCAGAATGGTATAACCTAATTTTAGTATATTAATTTAAAAAAAGTAGTGTTTTGCCTCATACAAAGGAATAAAATAATTAGCTTACTGAGGAAATGGGGTCATATGATTTTACTTTGAGAGGGTAATGAATGACATTGAGTAACTGTAACAGTAGGGTTTTGCAGAGCAGCTCTGGCGGTGGAGCCTGTTTGGAATTCTCTGTTGAACACCTGACTAAGAACCAGCTTTCTCCCCTGCAAGCCTCACCTGTCTTGACTCAGACTAAGTGCACACACATCGGCAAGACTGGCCAGTGCTCCTTAGGAAGAACACTGGGGGTGGGGGAGACATGCGTTTGGGGACTTTCCAGGCTTAGTTGAATGTCCACAAGCTCCGCGAATCAACAAGTCCTTGGGTTGGCTTGAGCATCAAGGTGCTTTCTACTTGAGGAAGAAATTTCAGCATTTTACATTTTACATATTTGGACCTTTGAACTTGAAATATTTTGTTACACTTCACATAGCTTCATTCCCTGGGGGGGAGAAACCCAGTCTTTCAAGTGGTTATTATAAAGCTAAGCACATAAATATGCATGAGAGGTCATTATTACCACAAGATGATACTTAAAATGTTCAAGTGTCTCTTACTAAGATTTTTCGACTTGTTCAGTGACTGCAAATCAAAGTCTCCAGCTTTTAGTTGCTGAACTTTGCCTTTGATTGTTCTTTCAAAGTTTTCAAGGAAAGGGAATGGTTTTTGGAGCCTTGACTGGCATTCATTCATTCTTTCATTCATTCTACAGATATGTAATGAGGTGTTTAATTACCCATGTCCACGTCTAATGCAGAATGCCATATTTAAAGCATTGTAGCCGGAGCTCTGGAGGTTGGGTCACGGAATTTCCAGATTTTAGATCTGGAACTGAGGCACAGAGAGGCTAAGTGGCTTTTCCCATGTCATATTGTGACATATAGTCGAGGCTGGGAGTCAGATCTGGCACCCCGGGCCAGGTTAGGGCTGGTGAGTCAAGGCCTCTGAAAGGCTCGAGGGCCCAAAGTATAGGGTCCCCATGGGAACCATGATACTGAAGAGTTGCATTTTGACCCATTTTTAACTTCTAGAACTTGATATTACCATGTGGAAATATTATATAGTGTTATCAGAACCTTCAAGGCTCTTAAACATGAGATTCACATTCAGAATTGACTCCAGTTCAACCCTATGCTTGCAGCAAGTTCCCTCTGGGAGAAGATAAAGTTTTCATCTCTAGAACTAATAACCCAGGCTGCCCTGTTCTCCGTGGGAAAGGAGAAATGGCAGTGGAAACCAAAATGGAGCCAGAGAGAGGAAAACAGTTCTACCAGAAGCCTCAGATTTTCCCTCTCTGGGAGCAGGGGCACCAGGCAATAGCCCTTGGGTTCTGACAACTCTTTTTGTCCCAAATTAACAAAGAGTAAAGAAAGCATTCAAAACATTTTTGCTTCTGGGATCCCAATCTCTGATTTACAGGCAGAATCTTTGGAAAGTGGAATAGGTGGAACCCCCCAGGGTGTGCTGTCTTCCCTGTTCAAACCCAGTGTGACCAATGCACCCGCAGTGTTTCCCACCAGGCTTCCCCCGTGTCCTCGGGCGGATCTTGCTTGAGAACACTGCAGTAAAAGAAAGCCCTGTGAAAGGCAGTGCCAAGCTCTCCTCAAGTCCAGGGCTAGTGCTCTGTCTTACTGCAGGATGACTAGAGTGAGCAATAATATATTATGTACTTGCAAGCAGCTGGAAGAAGAATATTGACCGCTCTCAACCCAAAGAAATGATAAATGTTTGAGATGTTGCCTATGCTAATTACCCTGATCTGATCACTATGCATGAGAGGTATTGAAACACCACCATGTCGCCCATGAATATGTACAATGATTATTTGTCAAATTTTTAAAAATTAAAATTAAAAAGAATCAGGGCTAATCTGCCAGTGAACTCGCAGCCCATGGGCAGAGCTCGCCAAATGTGGCATTCGAAATAGACTTCCCACGGGAAGCTTTCTCAGCTTGCATCTCTCAACTTCTCATTTACCATTGTCCACAGCTGGCACATTCTAAAATCGATTTCTATCTGACCCATCATTTAGGTGAATCATGTGGCCATGGAGATTGGTGGGAGGGGCTTGCCCAGGGAAGCCAGTCTGGATTTGAATCTGTGCCCCTTCACTCGTTAGCTGTAATGCGAGCAAGTGGCTAACTTCTCTGAGGCTGTTCCCTCATCTGCAAAGCAGGACTGACCCTACTTACCTTGCTTCCAGGACTCCTGGGGTTACAGAAGACCACACACAGGACATCTGGTCTTGCAAGGTGCTTGACAAAGGCCTGCTTCCACCCTCAGCCTTCCAAACTCCTTCCCAAGGAAAACTCTTCCATTGTGTTTGAACTCACCCTGGGCACCCCAGAATGTCCAATAAGCATGTATCATGTTTGCAAATCAGTTCTGTACATCTCTTTGTTTTGTTATTTTAACAGTTATTACAGTTACTAATTATATTGTGATTTGAGCTTCAAAAGAACATTCCTTTTCTTTTTCCAACCCCTTCATTAATTCAGTATTTTGTCCACCTTAGAAGCTCAAGAAGTTTGCCGACAGACTAACAGAATGATCAAATTTTCCCAAACCTAAGCCTTTTCTTTCATTCCTTCCCCACATGCTAGAGTTGCAAGGTCAGGAAGGAGCTCTTCAAGTCACCAACACCTCCTTGCTCATTGCCACAGCCTGACCACACAGTTGGTCAACTCTAGAGACGTGCATAGGCCTATGGAGACCAGGAAGGACCACAAAGCAGCTCTGGCCAAGCTCCTGGTTTGAGAAGGATTATTCCTACCACGTGCAAATGGAATGGTTTTTGATGGTGCTCTTGGTAATCCTTCTGGCAAATCATCTCACCATTCCCCGGTAACCAGTGTGCACTTTCTGTTTGTGATTCTGGATACATTTACTTTTATCTAAAATCTTTTGCTCAGAATCTTGGTCCAGGAGTTGGCCTTACAGTTTCCCTATGACTAATGTGTATCTGTTGACCGGGCTGGTCTCACCCTGGACGTACGTGTATTCACATTTCACAAATCAAGCATTTCCTCACCTGCCAGTCGCTCCCGTCCACTGTTCATTCTGAGTTACTTATTCTGGCTGTACGCCTCTGAGGTGCCAGGCTTGGGCTCACCCTGCTCATACGTCAGCTCTGGTGCTGGTTCTTGGCTTTCTGTCCTTTTGTCACCCCTCGGGAGTCCTTCTGGTTCCTGCACTTGGAGGTGCCCACACAGAATATAATATCTCGTGACAGGATGTCTCTCCACGTGCAAGCCAAAATAGCGCCAGCCTGTGTGCCACGTTCCTTTCTAAACGCACGCTGACATCATGTCTAGTCTCACCTCTCGTCCATCCCGGCCTCTCTATGGCACCCACTGTGAAGGACTGTGAGAGATCTAAGGTGACTTTTTTGGCTCCTTTATTTGTAAACTTTGAATCCATTCATATTTTTTCTCCTCATCGCTATTTGAACTCTGTCCCTGGTGGGGAGTCAGATGTAGACGGCTGTCTTGTGTTTTTCAATCCATTTTCCTTTTGCTAAAAAAGATATTTAAGGAACTATAGCCAGGGTTGGAAAAGGGGCTCCATTACATTCTAGGAAAGTGACACTATGCAGTCTTGTCTTGGGTGGCGGACTGTCTTCTCACACAATTTCAAAACTAGATGAGACCTTAGAAATCTCCTGGTCCAATCCCTTTAGTTTATGGCTCGAGAAGTCAAGGTTTAGAGAAGCAAGTAATTGGCCTGAGATCTCACAAGAAGCCTATGCCTGAATCAGGATTAGAATTCTGGACTCCTAATCGGGCGAGGTGGCTCATGCCTATAATCCTGACACTTTGGGAGGTCGAGGTGGGAGGATCGCTCAAGGCCAGGAGTTTGAAACACCAGCCTGGGCAATATAGTGAGAACCTGGCTCTACAAAAATAAAAAAAAAAATTAACTGGGCATGGTGTCGCACACCTGTAGTCCTAGCTACTCAGGAGGCTGAGGTGGGAGGAACGCTCGAGGCAAGGAGTTCCTGGCTGCAGTGAGCTATGACGGTGCCACTGCCATCCAGCCTGGGTGACACAGCAAGGCCTGTCTCTCAAAATAAAAAATAAAAACATAATACGTAAAAAGAATTCTGGACTCCTGGCCTCAACTTAGTGTGTGGGTTTTTATAAGGTTTTTATTTTTGTTGTTTGTTTGTTTTTTGAGATGGAGTTTCACTCTTGTTGCCCAGGCTAGAGTGCAATGGCTCCATCTCAGCTCACTGCAACTTCTTCCCCCGGTTTCAAGCAATTCTCCCGCCTCAACCTGCCGAGTCGCTGAGATTACAGGTGCACACCACCATGCTCAGCTAATTTTTTGTGTTTTTAGTACAAAAATACAAAATACAGTTTTAGTGTATTTTAGTTTCACCATTTTGGCCAGGCTGGTCTTGAACTCCTGACCTCAGGTGATCCGCTAGTCTCAGCCTCCCAAAGTGCTAGGATTATAGGCGTGAGCCACCGTGCCCAGCTGGTTATTTATTTATTTATTTTTTTAACATAAATTAACCCATTTATTGTAGGCTAGCGATGTCTCAAAGAGGAGAGGAGTGTCTACTGGTCTTTTAATCCTTTAGTTGTCTGATGGTGGACTTTCTTGTGAGAGCAGAAGTGGTGTTAGAGGTCCAGGCACTGCCAGCTACTGTCTTCATGCAGCAACCACAGTGCAGATCCCCACAGCTCATCTCTTCACCTCAATTTTATCATGGAAAGAGCAAGTATACTTGACGTGCTGGCTGATTTTGATTTTCTTCACCGTTTTCCAGAGGGAGGCACTCTAGCGGGTTCCGTATTTATCAACGATTCCAACTCTCTTGGTGCATTCAACCATGTTACGGCCAACTAGGTTCGAGCCCAGAGAGCTGAGGTTATCTTTTTAAATTAAAAATATGTATGTCAAAGAAAGAACAAAAGCAATTTCTAATGCCAAGTCAAATCATACATGTTTCCAGTGTCGTATGGCATCTGAGCTATTTCATCCCAGGCATCTTGAATCTGTATTATCATTTACTTCCTTGGGGACCCTCTCTGTTCACCCTGGTTTAGTTGTCCTCCAAACCCAACAGAGCCCAGAGTGCCTCCGGCCAGGACGTGCTGATCTCTAACAGTCACGCCATGTCTGCACTAGATGGTCTTTGGCAGTCACCACTGCTAGTGTTGCCTGTCCCACTCTGTTTGAAACTCTCTCTGGATAGGGGTTAGATTTTATTTTTTGACAACTGTAATTGTTAGGAAATTTATCTTCTAATCAAACAAGCTCTGTCTTCTCGTCATCCTCATTATGCTCATTTTGCTCTGTACCCTTCAAGCAGACACAGCTTGCCGGCAAACAATAGCTGGCATTGAACAGAAGGTGGGATTTTTATCCTCAGGCATCTCCTCCCGGCCACTTCTCCCCCTGACCCTTGATCTCAGCTTTCCTAGTCCCTTGACCTGCCTTATTTTGGTTCCTCACTTCATTTGCATTTTCACTGAAACTTTGTCATTCACCACCCCGATGGACTGTCTTCTGTAGCTTTTTCTTGAAGCTTTCTCTAGGGTATGACTCCTAGTGTTGCCCTCTGGTCTTGTGGATCTTAATTGTGCAGACAGTGGGCTGTCCCCCAAATCAGGAGTGTATGGGACTGGTCAGTTGCCACATCCTTGCTCAGCCCCATCAGGGAGGGAGTGACCTTTAGGCTCGCTGGTCTCAGTTCTGTCCTCTGGAGTGGGGTAGGGTACATCTCACCACTGCTAGTCTTTTGAGAGTGTGGTCCTGTCCCTCCTGTACAGCTCTTCTCTCTCTCCTACACACCCTTTCTTTTTTCTTTTCTTTTCTTTTTTTTTTTTTTTTTTTTTTTTGGGACAGGATCTCATTCTGTAGTCTAGGCTGGAGTGCAGTGGTGTAATCTTGGCTCACTGCAATCTTCACTTCCCAGGTTCAAGCAATTCTCCTGCCTCAGCCTCCCAAGTAGCTGGGACTACTGGCACCCGCCACTACACCTGGCTAGTTTTTTTTTTTTTTTTTTTTTGGTAGAGACGGGGTTTCATCATGTCGCCCAGGCTGGTCTCAAACTCCTGACCTCAGGTGATCTGCCCTCCTCAGCCTCCCAAAATGCTGGGATTATAGGCGTGAACCATCACGCCCGGCCTCCTACACACCCTTTCAAAGGATGGATATAAATGCATCGGTAGAGATGTTGTCTGACCTGTGCACAGGCCAGTGGGGCATTTTCTTTCTTTTACTGGAATATTCTATTTTCATCACTGCAGACTCATATCCCTTGGCTGTCTTTAGCAGTAACTCATACCTTGAGCTTGGGGTCAAAAAAATTCCTCCACCCTTCTCCCCCTCTCACTTGGTCTCTATTCTTTTCTGCCTGTGCCATTTAGTTATTTTTGAACGCTTGCGTCTTGTGTTTATTGGCATTTTTACTTGGATTCATTATTCTAGTTGATCGCTGGAATCCTTTTGAATCTTGATTCTTTCATGTGCCTTTATGCTGCCTTCACGCTTTTACATGTGAACATTTTGGGTGTCAAGAGCACAGATGAAAGTTCTCAATGGGGTACAGGTTAGCAATTCTGTGTCAGCTTGACATATACACTGAGGTCAAGCAAAGAAGTAAATGAGTGGCAGATGCTGGAAGCCAGCTTTCTTCCCGCTGGAGAGGGAAGTTGCAGATGCAGAAGGGGAGAGGCTGCTGGATTGAAGTCAGAGACATCGGTGTGAACTCAAGTGTATCTTAGTATAGATGCCAGGAGACGAATACACAAATAATTGAAGCCGTGTGTATACACCAATGGGTGTGCAGAATCGATGTCTAGCTCTGTCTGCCAAGAGGGCCTAGAAGCAAGGAAGTGCAGCCGCCTCAAGCACATCTTGAGCCCACATCTTGGTTTCCAAACACAATTCTCCAGTGAGGGGAACCAGGGCTCTTTGGAGAAATGGCTCATTCTAGGGCTGGGTCAGGGAAAATACAGGATGAGCCTGCAGGATCTTGAAGTGGCAAAAAGCAAGAAAGCCCTTGAATAACACGAGGATGGGGCATGTCAGAGGGGCGCAAGAGCCAACCTGAAAAATCTCCCCATGGCCAACGCTGTAAGAATTTGAGCAAAAAAGAAACTAACATAGTACTGTGTCATAACGTAAAGAATACAGCAAATATATGAGCTCACATTGACATAAATACATGATTGAATAAATAAATGGGAGAGAAGGAACACATATTTCTTATAATAGAATTCCAAATTATTTACATAGATATTTCCCGTCCAAGTTGTGGAGTGTGATTTCACCCACCACCCTACCTGTGCCCTGAGGGTGGCTGGACTTAGTGACATGTTTCCAAAGATAGCGTAGGGAGGAGGAAAAAAGTAGCTACTCTGGACAAACCTGGCAAACACTTCCTCAGCTAGAGGACCAAGGCCGATGTCATCAGTGGCCAACCACACAGAGAGCATGTACCCTTGGTGTGACGTGACAAGAATGACACTTTACCTCTGCATCTTCCTCCCAAACCCATTAACTGCAGTCTATTCATGAGAAAAACATCAGAAAAGAAAAACAAGTCGAGGGACATTCTACACAGTAACTGACCAGTAGTGCTCAAGATTGTCAAGGTCACCAAAAACAAGATGAGAAGTCACAGAGCAGGGGAGACTAAGGAAACATGACAACAAATGTAGAATGTTCATGATTATTCTGTATATCTAAGACTATTCCCTCCAAAATTATTAAAAATAAAAAGAAGCTGGGTGTGGTGGCTCATGTGTATAATCCCAGCACTTTGGGAGGCCGAGGTGGAAAGATCGCTTGAGCCCAAGAGTTCAAGAACAGCCTGGGCAACACAGGGAGACCCTGTCTCTATAAAAATCTAAAAAATTAGCCGGGTGTGGTGGTGAACACCTGTAGTCCCAGCTACTTGGGAGGCTGAGGTGGGAGGATCACTTGACCCAGGAGTTTGAGGCTGCAGTGAGCTGAGATGGTGCCGTTGCACTCCAGCCTGGACAACAGAGTGAGACCTTGTCTCAAAAAGAGAGAGAGAGAGAGAAGGGAGCATAAAGAATGTATATATATATATATATATATATATATATATATATTTTTTTTTTTTTTTTTAACAAAAATTGTCCTGTAGGACAAGAGCAAGAATCCAGTGGAATTCTACTGGTGACCTCTGACAGTAAGGATCAATGCAATAATCAGCATTCTTCCACTGAATTGGATCGACCACGGATCTTCCTACTTGTGGGCTAGGCAAGCCCCCAGGCTGGGCTTCCGCAGCTGTCGAAGCTGTGTCTTGGGCACCCAAGTCTCTTCTGCCACAGTGTGAGGGCAAACACAGTGCCAGAGCCTGGTACTTCCAAGGCCATGGTTTCTACTGTACTCACCTACACTGAGCCCAGCCGTAATTTATAACTTTTTTGGCAGGGGGGCGGGGGTAGGAAATCTCCACTTAGAAATCCACTCGCATTTCAAGCTATACACATCTAAATCCAAGATCCGCATTAGGCTGCTCTCGTGCACCCATCTTTTCTCTGTGTCTCTATTACCAGACTCCTGCCACCCCTGAAGCCTGGACTAATAACTTCTGGGCTATCTGAGAGTTTCTTTTGTCCCCAGGATTCAGCCCGTCTCTGACCCGCCGGTGAAGCGGCTTCCCGTCACCTGTTTCCATCTCCCATTCGCACAGCAGGTGATTCCACTTCCAGAACTTCCGAAGGTGACGCCCTCCCTCATCCTGTGTCCGCAGAACTTCCCTGGCCCTTGGACCATTTTCCTTGGAAGTCTCAATGTCTGTCATTTCCATTCAAATAAAACCTGCAGCTCTTGGCCCAGACCTCCACAGCTCTCCACTGGAGTCCCTTCCCACCTAAGGTGCAGATGAAGTCCAAGCTGGCTCTTCTGTCTTCTCCCCAAACTCGTCCTGTCACGGGGCACTTGCCACTCTTGCCTCTCAGCTTGCTTCATGCGAGATGTTCTGTTTGGCATTCCCTCCTTTCTCCTGGACACAAACTCACATCCCTCCCACTCTTCTTCACACTCCTTGAAGAGGCTTTTGATTCAAATTGTCTTGAGGCCTCCACATCACCCCAGCTATTTTAGCGACTCCTTGACATTTCTGAACAGCCATAAAGAATATGTTTCTTCTGTTTCTGTAATTCTTGTTTTCGGTACCTTATTTGAATGTAGGCTTTGTGGGTTCCGGCTCTGAGTCCTTTAACAACTTCTTATTTATACACAAGGAGTTCGGTAAAGTGTTAATTGAACAACTTTTCTTCTAAACACGAAGCTTGATGAAGTGTTACTTGACACAATGAGTGCCCAGTTAAAAATGTTAATTTTTCAGTTTGTTAAATGTGCGACCTTCACGGTGGACTGACTGAAAGTTGGTGCTGCCTGATCAGGATTTGATCTTTCTCTACAGTAGACAGTTTCAAACGCAGACCCTGCAGTGCCCCTGGAGCCATCTCTTCAGGACACCAGGACTCACACTGTCTGCGTGATCAGCACCCACGTGGCCTCCTCTCACCTGAGGGCCTGATCCACCAGCCTGAGATGCACCCAAGCCAACGTGAGCTAACTGTGCAAAGAGAGCCCCACAAGGCCCCATAGGAGAGGCCCTGCCGAACAAGCATGAAATAGAATATCGACATTGTGCCCTTGATCTGTGAGTTCCATAACACTATCAAAAAAGCCTTTAAGTTTTCAGAGCACAGTTTGTACTTGGTAAACCCAACCCACACTTCAAAGATATACCCTTCTCCAGATACAAGCTTTAAAAGAAGCTGTCTGGCCGGGCGCAGTGGTTCATGCCTGTAATCCCAGCACTTTGGGAGGCCGAGGTGGGCGGATCGCCTGAGGTCAGGAGTTCGAGACCAGCCAGGTCAACATGGTGAAACCTCGTCTTTACTAAAAATACAAAAATTAGTCGGGCATGGTGGCACGCACCTGTAATCCCAGCTACTCAGGAGGGTGGGGCAGGAGACTCGCTTGAACCTGGGAGGCAGAAGTTGCGGTGAGCAGAGATGGCGCCACTGCATTCCAGCCCGGGCGACAGAGCAAGACTGTGTCTCAAAAAAAGAAGCTGTCATGGTATTTCCTTTTCTTCTTCACGATTGGTCGCCACTCTTACCAAGCTCCCTCAAGCAATGTCTTTTCCTTTAATATACAGAAAGGCCATTCTCAGAATCTAGTACTTTTTCATTTATTTATTTATTTATTTATTTATTTATTTATTTATTTATTTATTTTTGAGACGGAGTCTCACTCCTGTTGCCCAGGCTGGAGTGCAGTGGCGCAATCTCGGCTCACTGCAACCTCCACCCCCCGGATTCAAGCGATTCTCCTGCCTCAGCCTCCCTAGTAGCTGGGATTACAGGCATGCGCCACCTCACCCAGCTAATTTTTGTATTTTCAGTGGAGGCGGGGTTTTTCCATGTTGGCCAGGCTTGTCTTGAACTCCTGACCTGAAGTTATCCACCCACCTCAGACTTCCAAAGGGCTGGGATTGCAGGCATGAGCCACCATGCCCAGCAGAATCTAGTACTTTTTCTCATTTCAGTATTGCCACTGTGTGTCCTGTACTAACATTCTCTGTTCCTCTCTGAATGTTCACATGAAAATGGCGTTTTTCAATCTCTGCATTGTGACCTGAGCCTGCTGCGCAGGAGGGCGGGATGGGGTGAGCGTGAGGAGCGGGATGCAGCCCCGCAGTCTTCACTGAGTGCTGCTGGGATGGCCCTGTGTTCTCTGTGTGTGACAGAGTGTGTTCGTGAGTGTCTGTGTGTGGGAGTGTTTACTGTGAGAGTGCATGAGTGTCTGTGTGTGTTTATGTGTGTGAGTGTATGAGGGTGTCTCTGTGTGTGTTTTTGTGTGTGTATGTCTGCGAGTGTGTGTTTATGTGTCTGTGCATGAGTGTCTCTGTGTGTATGTTTATGTGCGTGTGTTATGTTTTTATGTGTGTGTTTATGCGTGTTTATGTATATGTTAGTCTGTATGTGTGTGATGATGTCTGTGAATGTGTGATTGTGTGTATGTAGTTATGTATTTGTGTGTGTGTTAGTGTGTATATCTATGGTGTATGAATGTGATTTTGTGCGTGAGAGTGTGT
Organism: Homo sapiens; assembly: GCF_000001405.40. Classification (NCBI taxonomy): domain Eukaryota; kingdom Metazoa; phylum Chordata; class Mammalia; order Primates; family Hominidae; genus Homo; species Homo sapiens. The sequence continues at coordinate 163,356,932 of NC_000006.12, read as the reverse complement.
ATGTGTGTTTTTATGTGGTTTTGTGGGTGTGAGTGTGTATGTGTGTTTTTATGTGGTTTTGTGTGTGTGAGTGTGTGTGTGTGTGATTATGGGAGTGTGTGATGATGCATGCAAGTGTGTGATATGTAGGAGTGTGTGTTTATGTGTTTGCGTGTGCGCGTGTGTGTGTCTGTGTGTGTGTGAGCATGTGTTTCTGTGTGTGTGCACACAAGTGCTGTGTGTATGTAGAGAAACAGTTCCCAGCTGGCTCTACCCTAGAGGCCTGGGGAGGAGGGTGGCACCGGGCGGGGAGCAGGAGGGGGCGGGGCCAAGCAGGAGGGGGCGGGGCCAACCCGGAGGCGATTCTAAGTCTGCAGCTTCCGATCCAGTGCAGGCCCGCGGGGAACTCCTGCCTGTGTGCAACACTGTGGCCTTCCTTGGCAGCAAGTTTGTGAATCATACCCACATCTGTGCTTCACGTTTCTCCCTCCCATTTCAAGCATGGTCACTTAGCCCCTCCAGGAACCTCAACTTTCTAATCTGTATAAGGGCGACAAATTACAAATATGAATATTGAAGGACGTGGGAATGTGCCTGGAGGGGCCTTGTTGGTGTAAAGCACTTGAACGTCACAGAGTTTCTCTCCCCAGGGTCCAGCAGTGCCTATGACATTTTTAAACAATGCACGTGCCACATACATAGCTGCACAATACAGCGTGTTTCTACTTTTCTCTGAAACTGAAGGAATAAGAGGAGAAAGGAAAAGAATGCGGTGTTTAACTTTCTGCAAAGTCACAGGCTGTCTCCGCTGTTCACAAGCTGCTGTTTCGTGGGGAGTTGACCTTTCAGCTCCCTGGGTTATCCATGGCTTTGATCAATCTCTGGAAGTTCACTTATTGGCTTTAAATTGATCTATTGATTTAATAAAAGTCACATATCATCATCCCTGGTTCAGGACAAAGCACTCAATTTGTCTCCAGTTTGGCAAATATCATCAATAATAGATGTTTTGCTGATTCTGTTGGGTGACTAATTTCCATGGCATGCTCACAGGAAACTTGTTCCTGTCACAGTCCAGTCTCTCTGCACAGAACTTACAACCACGGCCTGTCGGCTGGATCCTGTCTGCTTAGATCCCTCATCACTCGGTCTGACTATCACCTGAGTCCCTTTTCTTAAGAATGACGAGGCCAGCTGCAACCCGTGATGGGAGAGGTGGGAGTAGGGGTTGGCGGAGTGGAATTGGGGTGCAGCTGCAGGCCTGCTCTCCCCAGTCTCCATTCCCTGCAGTCCCCAGTGGCTGGCTGAATAAGCCTCCCCCTGAGAGGCTGGCGGGGTTGCTGGGAAGCGGTGGAAATGAGGTCATCAGCAAGTGTGGATTCACTTCCTCTGGACTTTTGCAGCCAAGCAGGCAAAAAAAAAAAAAAAAAAAAAAAAAAGAAGAAGAAGAAGAAGAAGAAAAAGAAGAAGAAGAAAAAGAAGAAGAAGAAAAAGCTGAATGTCCAGCTGAAGGGCGTCTGAATGCTCTCCGTGATCTTCTTTCTTCTTGCTAACACAGCACAGCCTACACAGCCACACGCAGATGCGTGTGCAAACCAGTACTTCTGCACACATGAATGCCTGCACAGGCTTCCCTCAGTCTGTCCCCTACCCGGTCCTCCCACGCTGTTGGAGTGAGTGGCCAGGAGGCAGAATGCCAGCAGGTCTGGAGGAGTTATCAGCATTTGCTGTTTCTGAACATTTAGCCCCACATTTCAGAGTTTTGTCCACAGCTCCTGCCAGGGGCCGGCCAGGCTGGGAGCCTCCATGCCAACTCTGCATGTCCTTTGGGGAAATGAGAGTCAGCCTGCCGAAAATCGAAAAGGGAAATGAATCTAGCAAGCTGCATTCCTTTCTTCACCCCTTTATATACCACATGCCACCCCCGTTGGGCACCGTCTAGACCCTTTAGTGTCTCTGCTAATGAGTAGACAGTTTCTCCTGTGTCTGGCACATGTCTTCTGCAAACCACAGAGAGGAGATACACGGAGCAAGTGTCTGATCTTCCTCCTCTTCCCCCAGCATTGGGTAGCACCAGTTCAAAGAAAAGCACAGCATTTCCTTCATCATGACTTTGTGAGGGCAAGTACACCTCCTGGAGACACTTCCTCAAAAGTGACATCTCCATTCCTAAAACGCTGACCGACATTAATCCCACGTAAAGCTCTAGTGCCTTAGAAGAGATCATGTACCGACATCTCCTATTTTTTCCTTAAGGTTTTAGTCTTCTATGTGTAAAGGAAGACTACGTCTCTTAATAATTAATTATGATCGCTATTTAAAGCATTTGTAGCTATAATCAGAAACCTTAGCCTTGTCACCATTTTCCAAAGAGAGCTCCATTATTATACATTCTGATGCCCGCTAGTCTGAAAGAAGCTCAAGGAAAAAGGAATGCAATGTTTTGTCAGTCTTTATTTAAGCTCCATAACAAATTTTTACTCTGAAAAAAATTTGTTTAGTTATTGTATAGAGTTGCTGATATTCCTCAGATTCCTATGCAAATTGCATAAGATGGGCGAGGCCCGTTCTTACAGACACGTGCAGCCTTGGAGTGAAATACACAGGCTCTGTCATCAAGCTTGTGGCTGCTGCACTCAGTGAAGATTTCGGTTCATTTCTTGCCCCAGATCTTCTGACTCTTGCCGGGTTTCCAACTACAGGACAGAAGTGATCTCATTAGCACCCCGCATTCTTCATCCTCTTCCGGTTTCCTCACTCCTGACCCTGAAGAGCCCTGAGCTCTTCAGGCAGAAAGATAAGGGCTGAGACTCATTGCTGACGATGTTTAGGAAAGGTCAGGAATTCCAGTTTACCAAATTTTTCTTAGTTTTTTTAAACTTGGGTTTTGGCAAAGATTTTTGGCCTGAGAATGTGCCTCACCTTCAAACATTCAGAGGATGGTATAGAAAGTAAAGAGAATGAGGTGACGGCCCGGTGTGGTGGCTCACGCCTGTAATCCAAGCACTTTGAGAGGCCAAGGCGGGCAGATAACCTCAGGTCAGGAGTTCAAGACCAGCCTGGCCAACGTGGCGAAACCCCATCTCTACTAAAAATACAAAAATTAGCTGGGCATGGTGGTGCACGCCTATAATCCCAGCTACTAGGGAGGCTGAGGCAGGAGAATTGCTTGAACCCTGGTGGTGGAGGCTGCAGTGAGATGAGATCGTGCCAGTGCCTAAAAAAAAAAAAAAAAAAGGAAAAGAAAAAAAAGAAAGAAAAGAAAGAGATGAGTTGAAGTGTGTTTTTAAAAATTACACAAAGTTCATTTTCCAAGACTTTGCCACCACAGTGGATTTAATAGTATATCATTAATTCCAACATACTTATGATTTGATTTGCAAAACTTCTTTCAATGTAGGTATTTCTAGGGAAAGTGAAGTGTGAGGTTTCAGCCTGGCCACGGGTTTTTGATTCTGAGGGTCCCCTGGTTCCCCTGTCACAAATGCTGAAGGATACTCTCTATGGATTTTCTTGGGAGGGCTGAGGGGTGGGACTGAAAACGAGCCTGCAGGCACAGTGGCCCCCAGTTTCCTGGAGTCTCTTCCTGGGCTGCAGAACTCAGAGTTTCAGTCTGAATGTTGAGACACAGAGGCAGGAGAAGAGCTGTGGTGTTGGCGAATCTGTTCTAGCACTGAATGATGTCCTTTCTTCCCTGAACATCTTAGCAAGTCTTCTCTTGGTAACTGCAGATGGGACATTGGGATGTGGCCATGGACGCAGCAGTTCCTCCAGGGACTGTCCATGAGAGACAAGGAGGGAGACTGCAGAAGGCCTGTGGCTGACAGGGCCCTTCCTCCGCCACCTGGAAGTAGCTACTGTGATCTCCTTCTGGGCTGGCTGGGGACATGCATGTCTACTCTCGAAGGGCTGTGGTCTCGTAGAACACGGTGAGAGGCCAATGGGATATAAGGAGGGGTAGGGAGGTTGCACGGGTTGAAAGAAAAGACTCCGGGTTTGGACCTCAGGGCTGGTTCTTATTTGTTTTGCTGCCTTGAGGAAGAACATTGTTTAAGCTCTGTGACCCTCTGCTCCTATTTGCAAAATGCAGATGCTAATGTCCATCTTTTAGGGTGTTTGTGAGGCTGTGCCACTGTAAGTGCATATCATAGTGTCTGGCACATGGAGGTGCTCAACTCGTGGGGATTACTATGAAGATTTGGTGACTGCTGGGAAAGGCCCTACATTAAAATGCTCTTCCCCACTGACCTGTGTCCATGAACAAAACTCCTGCCACCACTGCGTCATTAGATTTTGTCCTTGGAATGCTCCTGTTAAGACACAAACCATCCTCCAGGGTCTGCGGGGAGAGAGTTGGGAAAGAAACGAATTGCCCAGGGGGAAACGCCTTTGGTGGAACAAGTTTATCAAGTCAGCCAGTCAGCCCTGACAACCGGACAGACTGACAGACCAGTTTAGAGGGGTGGTGTGAGAGCAGAAAGGAAGAGGCCTGGCCCCAGAGGAGCTGGGCGGGTGGAAGTGGGCAGGGGGGAGGGGCTTAAAGACTAAATTACAAAATATTTACAGTGCCCAAAGAGCTGAGAGACAGGGGATACATTTATCTTTAAACAATGTTAGTTGTTAGCAAATAATATGCTCATTGTATTCTTTGTTTTTTGGAGTCAGGATCTCGCTCTGTCACCCAGGCTGGAGTGCAGTGGCTGATCTGGGTCAGTGCAACCTCCGCCTCCTGGGTTTGAGCAATCCTCCTGCCTCAGCCTCCCGAGTAGTTGGGATTACAGGCATGCGCCACCACACCCAGCTAATTTTTGTACTTTTTTTAGAGACGGAGTTTTTGCGTAGGCTGAACTCCTGAGCTCAAGCGATCCACCCGCCTCCGAAAGTGCTGGGATTACAGGCGAAAGTCACTGAGCCCAGCCTGTATTTTTATTTAACTTCTGATAACTTTCTAGGTAAGGAGTTTTACATTTGAAACACTGGGTCCAAATGTCAATGTGTAAAAAAATAATAATAATAAACTACAGTAAATATGCTACAGGTGTCAAAGAATTCTGGAAACCCAGAAAAAAAATAGTAAATATATGTGGAGCAGGTGTGCATGGAAGGCACTTACCATATGGTACTGGACCAATATTTGTAGACTGATCGGGAAGAGGGGCCTTCCTAACCATCCAGCACCTGGGGCTCCTGGATAAATGATATGATGCCACAGGGCCTCAGATACAGAGCATTTTGCTATTTTCTTCTCATCTCAACCACCCCTCAATTGTTCACTGAGCACTTACTGTTTGTAAGGCACTGTGCTGGGCACTAGGAAGAATAAAAACTGAGAAATTGTGTCCCTCCTTGAAGAAGACACCTACTGGGCAGCCTTCTCAGCCAGTGACCCCCATTTTTAGCAAACTCCTTCTTCTAGCCTCTCCTTCCACCCCCTAAGCCAGGGACATAGCAGCCACATTTAGCTACATGACCTGCTTCCCCAAGCAAAGTTAATTTACCTGACTCAAGATGGGCCAGTCAAACTCTGTATTCCAGGAATTAGGCATCTGGATTCAGAGATACAAGTCAGCTTCAACTGCAGTTTCAACAGAGGACACATACACTCAGGGGATGCAGGAACATTGCATTTGGCTACGGACTTACCAAGGAGCAAAGAGCCCTGCTCAGCAGAGAAAAGAATAGCATAGGCTTGCAGAGAGAAACGGAAAGGGGAGGCTGGGTGACCCCGGAGAACAGGAGAAAATCCAGTTTCATTCCCAATGTTTCCAGTTCCTGCTGCCAGTTCTTCTTCTGGCCCTGCTGCACTCCCTCTGTCTGTTTGGATTTCATGTATAAAAACCTGTCAGCAGTGACTTCAGCAAGGGTCTCTCCACCACAGCACGATTGCATGTGGGGCTTGATAATTCTTTGTTCTGGGGGCTGTCCTGTGCGCCGCAGGGCATTAAGGAGCATCCCTGCCTCCACCCACCAGATACCAGTAGGACCACCCCTAATGGTGACAACCAAAAATGTCTCCATACATTGCCACATGTCTCCTGGGGGCAGGAAATTGTTCCTGGTTGACAACCACTGACTCAAATGAAGAAAAGTTTATTTTTCTCAGGTGAAAAGGAATTAGTTTAGAGATAGTGTAGTGGCTCAAAAAAGTCATCCTGAGCCTGGATTCCTTCTGGCTTCTGCCTCCATTTATAGCTTGTGGCTTCAGCCTCATTGTGGCTGCTCTGCCTCCTGAATCACATCCATGCTGAGGAGGGAAGAAGGGGCAAGGGGGAAGAGGTACACGAGTCTTTTTTCCAGAAGCCCCACCCAATAGCATTTCACTTACATCTCATTTGTTAGAGCTGGGTTTTCGTTTGTTTGTTTGTTTGTTTTGAGATAGGGTCTCACTCTGTCGCCCAGGCTGGAGTGTAGTGGTGCAGTTACAGCTCATTGCAGCCTCACCCTCCCGGGCTCAAGCAATTATCCCACTTCAACCTCTAAGTAACTAGGACCACAGTTGCGTGCCATTATGTCTGGCTAATTTTTGTAGAGATGGGGTTTTGCCATGTTGCCCAGGCTGGTCTCAAACTCCTGGCTTCAAGTGATCCACCTGCCTTGGCCTCCCAAAGTGCTGGGATTACAGGCATGAGCCACAACGCCCAGCCAGAGCTGAGTTTTGAGAAGCATTTCTGGCTGGCCACATTGCCACCTCAATCAAAAAGAGGGTTCTGTTACAAAGTGTCACGGGTTGAATTATGTTCCCCTTCCTGCCCTCTGCCAAATGCGTATGTTGTCCTAACCCCCAGTACCTCAGATGGGGACCTTATGGGGATCTAGGGCTGCTGCAGGTATAATTAGTTAAGTTAGGATGAGGTCATGCAGGAGTAAGGTGGGCCCCTAATCCACTATGCCTGGTGTCCTATAGAAAGAAGAAATGTGGACACAGATCCGCATGCAGTGAGATGATGTGTGAAGAGGAAGACAGACCCCAGGGTGATGCTTCTACAAGCCAAGGAATGCCAAAGACTGCTGGCCATCCCTAGGAGCCAGGCGGAGGCCTGGGCCGTGCCTTCCTCGGGGCTCAGCAGGAACCAGCCCCACTTGCACCTTGGCCTGGGACTTCCAACCTCCAGACCCGGGACAGTTCTGTCATTTAAACCACTGAGTCCAGGGTACTTTGCTAGGACAGCCCAAGGAAACCAATGCACTCAGGGAGACAAATATAAGAGACGCTGTGCAGCCAGGCAGCAAAGCCTTTGCTGGGACTCGGAAAGAACCGGAATGCTTTGAGCATGTTTCCTTCATAAAGTAGACTGTGTTCCTGGTAGGTGCAATGCAAAGGATCCGGATGAGGACAAACCCTCCCTGGACATAGGACCAGAGGAAGGAGGCAGGGCATGCACAGAACTGAGGCACCCCCAGAGAGACCAGGGCCTGGGTGACTCACTGCTCTAGGGAGCCAAAGATTGTTTCTGGTTGGTGAGCCAGGGCAGCCTATTGGAGGCACAGGCCTTGGAGACAGCAGGCCTTGGATGCGTGGAGGTTGGGGCGAATGTTCCAAAGGAAACAATGAACCCAGAGACTTGGGGGCAGGCGCACAATGGGGCCTGTGTGTGACACTGCGTACTGTGTCACTCGGGTGGATGTTCCCTGGAGAACAGTACATTGTAACTGCTTCCAAAGCAAGTGAACTATGGGTTTCAACAAACTCCTGAATTTCTGTATTAAAGACCCAACAGGTGAAGAACAAAGAATTTGGAGGTATTCTTCTGACTCAGCAATTTCATTTCGGATGCAGGTCTCCTTTGCAAAACTTTTGGCAGGATGGTTTTATGCTTCTTACACTTTGTTTTTCAACCTCTCTGACCTTTACATCAAAACATCCATCAGGGGCTTGTTCTGAGAATCTTGGTCACTTTGATTCTTGGCCCGAAACACTGACATAGAACTGGTTTCCCAAAGGATTCTGTGGAGAAGGCTGAGAAGTGTGACAGTGCCTCTTTAATTAGATTTGTCCCTGAACTTTGAGAAGGTCAGGATGTTCACAGCAGGGCCCTTAACTCTTAGAGACTCATCACTCCTGGGCAGAACATTGGCATGTGCTCTTCCCAGCTGTGTCCCCTCAGAGGAGACTTTTCACAGTTTTGTGTTGGGCCAGCCATGAAAACAGAAGCTCAGCCCGTTAGTCCCAGCTCTATGGGACCAGCTTTGAGAAAAACAGGTAATAACAGACACTGATTTATTCAAGGATGCGATCCTTCAACAGCTTTTTACCATATCCACAAACACAAACTCCAGGAGGGCCTGAAGCTGAGAAGCAGATGGGCTGCTGGGGACACATATTTACAGTGTGTGATCATTAAGCAGGGGTGTCCTCACTTCCCAAATTCTAGTAATCAATACGTATTTCCTATGGCTGCCGTAACAAATTGCCACAAACTTAGTAGCTCAAACCAACACAAATGGGTTCTCTTAGAATTCTGGAGGTCAGAACTCTGAAATAGGTCCTAAAATCAAGGTGTCAGCAGGGCTGTGTTCCTTGCAGAGATGCCACAGGAGAATCCATTTCCCTGATTTTTCCAGCTTCTAGAGGCCACCCACATTCTTTGACTTGTGGCCTCTTCCTCTTCAAAACTTGTCCTGTAGTCATCGTCCTGTCATTTTTGACTTTAATCTTCTTGCCTCTCTCTTAAAGATCCTTGTGAGTAGATTAGGCCCACCTGAATCATCCAGGACAATCCCTCCATCCCCAAATCCTTCACAGAATCACACTGACAAAATTCCTTTTGCCAGGTAAGGTATTCACAGGTTCTGGGGATTAGGACGTGGACGTCTTTGGTGGAGGAGGGGGCATCGTTCTCTCTACCACACCGAGACTTTGCAAAAATGTGTTCTTCTTGGACAAGTAAATTTGGAACATGTTGGGTTAAATAAAAAAAACAAACCAGGTTTCTTTATTGCAGGACTTTTCCGTCTTCAGTGTTAATGAATGTTGTAAAATCCAAGAGGGAAATGTAGTGTATAGTGTTTCCCAATCTTGTTTGAACAAGATCCCCCTCCTTCATTTCCCCCCATGAAAGCAGTGAACATTTCAGGATCGAGTGGGGACACAGTCTCAGGAAACACATTTTGGCCCAACTGCGGAAGTCAAGGCCTGGAGGAGCAGGTTTACATCTCACCAAGGTTTGGGGATGAAACCGATTACAGGGGAGAATCATTCTGTGGCGGCCACCACGTGCCATGCCGTGAACACTGCAGAAGAGGAATTCTTCATTTAGGATCTGATATTTCGTGTCTGAAATTTCTGAGTAGGATTTGGTTGACCTCAACTCCACCCTCTAAGGCAGATAGAGAAGTCAATCCTTCACTTATTCATTCACCCATCCATGCGCTTAGTAAGTGTATATAAGGCAACATTATACTGGGAATTCCACGTCCACCGGTTCCCTGCCCACGTTCCCCAGCTCTAGTTTCCGCGCCCAGCCCCCTTTTGGCCATAGCCACCCATAACTGTCAAGTTGAATCACAAACAGCTGTCTCCCAAAAATATCCTGAGAAATCTCCCCCAACTCTATATATTCCCTGAAGGTCGCACGAAGCAGGACTATAGGCAGGAGGGGCGGGGCCCAGGCAGAGGATGTGAGTCACTAGGCAAGTGCTGCCTCGTATTTTTGGCCTGCGGGTGGGGTGGCTGGGTGGGTTGAGCAGCACTTGTGCTCATGGTCGGGTGAATTTATGGGATTTATCCAAGTTAATGGTAGTGCTGGAGGCAGCTCCAGGGAGCGAGGCAATCGGAATGTGCCTCTTACCACTCCACTAAGCCGCTCTCTGGACACGGAGCCATCCTACCCGGCCTGTGCTTTTAATGCCAAGATCCGCATTGCCCAGCCCTGGCCTGTGGGTCTCCTCCCCCTGTGCCCTGGCCCCACATGTGGTCTTTGCAAACAGTGCCCCTGGACAAGGAGGGCACATGGGCCTGATCCGCTTCCCCAAAGCCTATGGAGCACTTATCAGTCCTATTTAAAGCTCCAGTTAAGGATTCGGATTCAAGACTATGCCATTAAATGACCACATTAACGAGCTCTCCGAGAAAAGCTCTCACAAAGCTTTTGAGCTCATAGCCTCTTGGCTGCCTTAGGAGCTTCCAGTGTGTTAACATTCAGAAAATCCAAATATTCCGAGCGCCGGCGCTGCAGCGTTCCCAGCCCTTTGCCGACTGGAAGCTTCTCTGTCTGCTGTGTGGATGGAGCAGCAGGAGCCAGTGAGTCCTGGGCAGCCTCAGGGCCACCTGGGCACAGCCCCCCTCTGTCCCTCTGTCCCGGGGGCCCTGTCCTCTTGGCGGGGCTCCAGGCCTCTGGCGGCTGCTTTTGTGCTCTTTTGCGGGGCATCTGTGAGAACAGTCTGGAAGACAATGACAGAGTGCTTGCCTGGGGAGTCGGAGGAGCTCCGGTTATGTCCAAGCCGAACCCCTGGAGCCTCTGGACTGCCTGGCACTGAGGGAGCGGGAACTGGACGGTGGGCATGTGGCCGGGAGGAGCCTTCCAACCAGAAGAAACTAAGTTTTCAAGTTTCCTGCTGTGTCATCTCAACTGGAAAGTAGGCATATCGGGGTATTTCTGAAGGTGAAGGGCACCGTTTGCCTGTACTCTGTTCCTCGGCATCCCCAGAAAAAGAAGCTTTGATGTGAAAGGGGCTCCTGGGCTGTGCTTTTCCCTTCTGTGTCCGTGTCAGGGTTTCTCTCTGCCACCTCTTGACACCAGCCCTTATTTTTAGGGATGTTCAGACCTGAGGGTTCGGCCTGTGCAGCCAAGAAGCCCTCGAGCTGATTCATGGCGTGGATCCCTGTCCTTGTGTCTCAACGATGGGAGGCTGGAGGTGGAGCCACAGGGCTGCTGGAGGGGAATGGGGCGAGGACCATGAGCCTGACTCAGTGGCCCCAGCGAGGCCAGGGCTTCTGGTCTTCACAGGTGGCCAAGGCTTTGTGGACCTGCCCTGGCCCCCATGCCTGAATTGCATGGAGGTGGCCCCTTTTGCACACTAAGAAAGATTCCCAGAATTCCTGCTGTCTTCTCCTTTCTACGGTCTGGGCTGATGTAGGGGCTTCTCTGCACTGGGGAGGAGCCCATCCCCTCTGAGGCTGAGCTAGGATTCCCTCCCTGGATGCAGTTAGGAGTTGAGCTTAATTTTCTTTCTTTCTTTCTTTTTTTGTTGAGACAGTCTCACTCCGTCGCCCAGGCTGGAGTGCGGCGGCGCAATCTCGGTTCACTGCAACCTCTCCCTCCCGGGTTCAAGCAATTTTCTTGCCTCAGCCTCCTGAGTAGCTGGGATTACAGGCACCTGCCACCATGCCTGGCTAATTTTTTGTATTTTTAATATAGACAAGGTTTTGCCATGTTGGCCAGGCTGGTCTTGAACTCTTGAACTCAGGCAATGTGCCTGCCTTGGCCTCCCAAAGTGCTGGGATTACAGGCATGAGCCACCACACCCGGCCCTGAGCCTAATTTTCAACGTACTTTGATTCTGTCCGTACTTTGAAGCAGAAGTGGCACTGGCTGGATGTGGCTGAGGAGGGACACCTGGGTTGCATTGGCTCCCATTAATGGCCAAAGGCAAGGAGGGGAGAAGATGGTTCCTTTTTAGAAAGAAACTTAAAAAGCAGCAAAACAAAACACACGCACACACCCCCAAAAATGTCTTGGCTGTGGTGGCTGTGGACCTGCACCCCTGGGATGGCCACATCATCCTTCAAAAAGCTGCTGGCACCTCCACAACCTGCTCAGCTCTAAGCTCTAGGCCACAGCCACACTCTTCCTGGGCTGCCCCTGTCAGATGGAGCTCAGTGGAGCCACGAGGTCTGGGGACCTGGATGTCCCAGCTCATCCCTGGATTCCTCCAATGGGCATCTAGCTCCAGGGCCCCTCACTGGGTTGGCCGAGACTTGGTCGGATCTGCACCGCACTTTGAGGCTTTCCTTGCCTGATCCTCCGCTTTATCTCTTACAGGTGTCGTCCCCCAGGAAGTCTCCTGCCCTCCCTCTCTGCACAGGGAGCCGCTTCCCACTCTGTCCTTCGATGGACACGCTGATGCAGCTGGGAATGAGCTTGGAAACGCTAACTGACCAGAGTGATTTCTGGGCCCTGAGTGCATTACAGATGGAGAAAGCTTCTGAATTCTCTATGGAACTCCAGGCCTGACCTTGGGATGGGAGACGGGCGGCTGGGCGCACAAGGAAAGAGGCCTCGCCTTGCGCCACGGAGGAGGTGGGGAGCAATCAGCCGGCCCCAGGCTGGAACCTGAGGAACCCAAAACACCAAACGCTGGGGAAACTTTCCCTTCCTTTTTTCCAAACATATGTTCAAGCTGGGGGTCTGAATATGCAGTGGGCTGCCCTATTTCCCAACCTGGCTTTGGGGAAGTAAGTCAACACAGGCAGTTGCTGAGTTTGCTTACTCTGTGCAACTTGTGTGGTAACCAGCAGCTATCAATACACTTTACAGGTGTGCTGGAAGATAGTTATTTCAAGGAAAACAATGATTCTTTTTAGAAAGTAAACTTCTGAAGGAGGCATCAAAACTTTGAATTTTGATGCAGCATTTTTTTTTTTTTTTTGAGATGGAGTCTTGCTCTGTTGCCTAGCCTGGAGTGCAGTGGCACAACCTCGGTCACTGCAACTTCTACCTCCTGGGTTCAAGCAATTCTCCTGCCTCAGCCTCCTGAGTAGCTGGGATTACAGGCACCCACCATCATGCCCGGCTAATCTTTGTATTTTTGTAGAGACAGGGTTTCACTATGTTGGCCAGGCTGGTCTTGAACTCCTGACCTTAGGTGATCCACCCACCTTGGCCTCCCAAAGTGCTGGGATTACAGGCGTGAGCCATTGTGCCTGGCCTGACGCAGCATATTTTTAAAGACAGGATGCACATGTAATTTGGAGAGAGATGGCCGATTCCAAAATATTGCAGGTACGATGGCATCCTTCAATGATAAATACTTCCCAAATGGTCCTGTGAGCACTCCCAACTTCCTCCTCTGGCCAGTAGCCTTTCAAGCCAAGACCTCAAACCAGCAGGATTTTATTTTAACTGTAAGGAGAGGACAAAGGCCATGGAACGATGCCATCCAGGCTGCCCTTGGCCGGCCTCACTGCCCCTATCTGCAGGAGGCTCAGGAAGGTTTCCAAATGCCCAGAGTAGTGTGGCTCGAGTGCTTCTCGGAGTCATTCTCACCCTACTCACCGGAAGTGGGAAGGACAGGAGAACTGTCAGTCAGGTCGGCCATGGAGGTCAAAGGCAGCCCTGTTGAGAATGTGCGGATGTTTGTCCTTCCAGATGGTCCAGACAAGGGATGGCACAGATTTCATTCCCGCATTGTCTTTTGACCGCAGGTGCTACCCCGAGCACTGTCTGGGGAGGATTTCAAGGCTGTGCCCAGGCCACCCCTGATGGATGCATCAGTCACTTCAGCCATGGTGCCGGCAGGGAGCCCAAGCGCGGGAGCATCCTCTGTCGTCCTCGCAGCCGGGACCCTCTCATTTCCTGTCTGCACAGCAGCCCCGGCGTGTTCCTCTGTGAAAGCCAGGAGCACGGGGGTGACGCCTTCTGGGCCTGCCACTGTTCCTTCAGAAGCGACCTTTGACCTCCCCATCAGCCTGTGCTGCTAGGTCTGGGGTCATTTTCTGCTCAGATATCTCCTCTCCCTGACGATCGATTCCCCCTGGAGGGGTGAGCCACTGTCGGGAGGGGAGACGGAGCTGAGCATGCAAGGAAGGGCAACCCCAGCCCAGATCCTGGAGGGCTTTGGGCTTCCAGGTAGAAGCCGGTCTTCGCGTCAGCAAACCAAGAAAATGCCTCCCTGAAATGGTCTCCAGGTCCCCCCAAACACCTGCCTCCCCCTCCAGCCTTCTCCACTGATGCCTGCAGCTGCATAAGTAGTGTTTCATTGCACCCCAGCAGGAGCTGGTACCGGTTCTTCCCTTGCCTCATGCTGGGGTAGATTTTATTTAGGATTGGGAGCAGGGAAAGGAGCTAGAGAAAGGAAGGGTTCCAGGAAGCTGGGAAGGGAGATGTCAGGTGGGGTGATGGGAAAGGAGGCCAAGGACCACCTTTGCCTGTATGGTGGGCTGAACTGTGTCCCCACAAAAGATAGGGCGTCCTAACCCCAGATACCTGTGAATGTGACCTTATTTGGGAATAGAGTTTTTGCAAATGGAATCAAGTCATGATGACGTCATTAGCATGAGCCTTAATTTAATAGGATTGATGTCCTTCTAAGAAGAGAAGACAGGGACACACAGGAGAAAGCCATGTGATGAAGCAGGCAGGAGCTGGAGCGACACTACCACAGGCCAAGGAACATTGGGACCAGAAGAGGCGAGGAGGGGCCGTTCCCTAGAGGCTTTGGAGAGAGCATGGCTCATCAACACCTTGACTTCAGACTGGTAGCCCCCAAACGGTGACAGAATAATTGTCTATTGTTTTAAGCCCCCTGGCTTATAGTACGTTGTAAAGGCAGCCCTAGGAAGCCCTAAGCCAGTTTCACTCATTATGATAAATATCATAGATGATGACTGTCATATATTGGATGTGCTGGAGATCTTCACAGCCACAGAATAAACTGCAGGCCAAAAAAAGAACATTCATATGAGGTCCCCAGCAGGGGCTGGCTGTGCAAGTCAGAGACTGCAGAACCAGGTAGGCAGACAAAGCGAAATTGCCTGGAGCTGGACACATATGTGCACCACTGGGAAATAAATAGACTTGCGGTGGAAATGACCAACGTGGATGGCCAGGGAAATGCCAGCAGCAATAAAAGAAAAGAGTGCACAAGGCCTGTAAATCAGCAGATGCGAGAGCTCCCGAAAAGTAGCGAAGTCTGAAATAAAAGGCAGGCTCAGGCTGGTGGTCCAAGAAGTTAAAGCAGGAAATGAGAGCGTGGGCACTGTGTGTGCTGGGCTCCCAAAGACTGCAGGGAGTGGCCAGATGTCTCCAGAGGCAGCGTCATGTGGAGCAAAGGGGACCTGAGGAGTGTCAGCATCCTCAGTCACCTCCTCCTTTGAACCAGCTGTTCGGAATCTGGTCTCTTACTTAGGATAATTGTAGGAACTGACTTTTTTTTTTTTTCTTTTCTCACCTATTGGCTGACTGAAAGAACCGACTTTTAAATGAGCACCTCCCTCATTAGAATTGCTCAAATGACAACAGCTGCAGCGGTGGGAGCAGCAGCAAGTTTGAAAATCCAACAGTCTGCATTCCACAGTGACAGTATTCTTGGTCACCTCGGAGACATGGCAGCCGGGAGCCACGGCTCTCATTGCTCGGGGTTGGTTGGGTTACCAGCCCTAGGGCTACAGAATGTATCTAAAAGAGAGGCTTGGCTGGCAGTTTAAGAGGGGTGCAGGACAGCAGGATGGGGTTCATGAGGCAAGAGTGGATGGAGCCTGTGGCCCAGTTGGGATGAGATGGGACAGTTCCAATGGGCAGGACAAACCCCAGCCACCGTCTCAGGGTATTTGACAGGAGGTAAACAGCAGACAAAATCCTGGAGCACAGGGGGGCAGGGCTGTCTCGTTCCCATGAATGGCAACATTGGAGGACTGACCCCCAAGAGCGTGGTTTTGTCGTCAGCCTCAAAGGCATGGCTTTCTCTCTGGCGTTGGCAGCAGCCGCTCAGCACCATAGCTAGGGAGCAGCGGCCTAGATCCCTCACATTTATTTCACTTTGACTCTTTTGACCAAAGCACCACTGTTTAAGGCCTCATTTTTCTTCTCCCATGTGGAAAATCATATTGCTTAAATTTAAAAATGAAGATAGATAGATGGATGAAAAAATCCCCATAGAGCAAAATTCTGCCTGTGACAAAAAGGTCTCCACGTCTGAGGTGACAGTCAACTTCAAGTGACGCCAAGAACATCAAAATCTCTCTATAAAAAAAGAATAGGAAGCAATGGGGCTCGTGAAAATGCCACATCAAGAAAAGTCAACAAATACATACTTAGTGGTAACTATGGTTGCAGAGAAAGAGAAAACTTAAAACAATATGAACATATGTGGTCATATAGACTGAAAACCCACCGTGTCATAAAACCCCAGGACACAGAACGCATCAGCGTAGACAGCAGCTGTACAGACAATGCTGGGGCGGTTGTGGAGTGGGATTAGAAGACAGGAGGCGCCATCGAGTCAGCTCCAAGGCCATTAGCCTTGTGACGCCAGCAAAATGTGTGAGTGGGGAGCCTCTACGTTCTCTCCTGTGAAATGGGGATGACAGTACTTCCTTGTAGGGTTGTGGTAACGAAGTTATTCAGCACAGAGCTTGGCATGTGGTCATAACAAGGAGTGGCGGATAATGATAATATGGTAACAGTAGGCATCATTGTGAGAAGGGACAGAGACTCAATGTGAAAAGTATAGAAAGGGCTCTTACAAATCTCCAAGCACATAAAAGTCCCTAAAAGACAAATGGCGAAGGGTTCACAGTTCACAGAAATGGAAAAAAAGAAATGAATGAATTCAATGAATATTAGGGGAAGAAAACCGTTACTAATTAGTGACGAAGCACAAAGTAATGCAAGTATCCAACACCATTTTGACAGCACTTGAGAAATGATCGAGAATTCAGAAACGCGGTAAAAACTGACGCTGGTCCCGACAGTTAAGTAGGAATATCCAGGAGTTCCTGACGGTAGTGCAAATGTGTTTGATTACTTTGGAAGACCATTTGGTAATTCTCATCAAAAGCCAGAATACGCTACACTTGGATCTCATCATTCTCTTCCTGAGAATGAAATAATTCAAATTAAGAGAAAGCTATACTTATAATGAGACATGTAGTTAGAATTATGAGAATAAAAATAGGTTAGCATCCCCTAATACAGAAATGGTTACTTTGTCATAAGAATACTAATTCTATAACATATTACATGGTGATTAAAATGAGAGTGTATTTAGAATAATGTTAAGTCTTAACATTATTTTATAATATAATTTATTGAAATAATTAATTACGGATATTTTTAAAATATGTAGCTAAAGATGAGATGAAGCTATCAGTTAATGCAATTTATCTGATGTAGGTAGAGGAACTTAGATACACCTATGTATGTTATTTTATTAATAAGTACTTTAAATGACACATAACTAAATTATCTTAATTTCTCTGTATCACCTGTTATGAATACACGACTCCCCATGATTCATTTTGTACTGACCTATACGAGGGTATACAAATCTAAATCAGGCACTGAATTAAGGCACAAGCTAGCTGTGTCCTCCCTGGAACATTTCCTGACTCAATTTAGAAATATCAGCTGAGCGTGTAGAGTTGTCTCTTTGAGGAAAGCTTTATTCTCTCAAGACTACTTGGCTCCCTGATACTCTCTTTAATGTTATTATAAGAACGCTGATCTTTTAATCCGCTAATTCACTCTCTATTATTCTTATATCTCAAAACAGCTTCAAAAGTCACTGGATTTTTCAATGAGAAGGAGAAGTTAGGCAGCTACCAAATAGCTGAAAGAATATTAAATCTGATGGATCCAGCCAAATAAAAATGTTCATTCATAGGATCTGTGGTTGTTGAGGAATCTTCTAAGTTTCATAAATGGCAAAAACTCTTTCTCAGACTTACAGATCAGACCTCACATATGCATGAGAAGAGAAGCTATTTTTGTCTCTGGGTTCCAGTTACACAGCCACAGCCTGGAAGCTTTGTTCTCAGAATTCATGCTGTCATCAAAAGGACTCAATACAAACACTGCAGCCAGCCTGCCATGGCTTAGCTGTGACCGCAGCTGCAAACTCTTCTGTCATGTGAAAACTTTTGGCTTTTTCCGGGTGTGGAATGCCTGTTGGTCCCAGCTCCGCCTGCCTTTCCTCCTTCTGGAATCGTGTCCATCCTTTCAGTCAACTCAGTTTGTCCGCATCTTCCAGGCCTCATACCTCCGCCTGATCTGCATGGCAGTGGTGGGCTTGCTCTTTGTGCTATTACACTGACTGTGATCGTGTTTAGTGAGTCAGCTTCTACAAAGTTGACCTGCACCTGTGTGATGTCTCTCCCTAGCTGGATGCAGCTTCTCCATGGGCTAAGTTCATCATGTTAACAGTGCCTGCCCCACAGGCCCTCAGGGGATCTTAGTGGGTGGTCTATGGAGAGACTTTAGTGGGTATATGAATCCCCAAAATTGTAGGCAAAGTTTGTGTATGCTGTGGCCTATCGACAGCGGGGACTCTGCCGCTGATTTCTCCTAAGAAGCCTCCTGGGGGTTTGAGCGAATCGTGGTGGTCTCCTTCCCTCTGGAGTGATTAGTTTTGGCTTTGGCTCAACATGGTGCAGACCCATGGGATCCAAAGGGAAGTTGGCCGGGCATTTCTGGGAAGGATGTCTCTTCTTCTGATTTCTGAGTGAGGGTAGGAAGCCCTCTTCTTCATCAGACGCCATGGCTCTTACACGAATGATGCCTAGAGCAGACACAGCCCTTCCAGGACCAGAGGCCAAGGCTGACAATGGGACAAGAGGGCGGAGGAAGAAGTGGGGAGCACCTAAGCCTTCCTCTGACCAAGCACTGTCCTAACCAATTCTGATTGGTTCACTTCTAGTTACATGATATAATAAACGTCCTATTTCTTAAGGCACTTTTAACATGAGTGCAGCATTTTAGAGTTTCATCAGGTGATCCACTGGATCTGAGTCTCTGCTCAGGCTTAAGGATGCCCATAAAAGGTGCCCAATTAAATGTTGATTGGTTGATTGGCACACAGAGAATCGCTGGAAGTGCCGCTGAGTCATCCAGGTGCTAAGAGAGCTTGCCAGGCCTGTCTAGAGGAGGTTGGCCAACTGGAGTGTGTTGTTCTCCCACTCAAGTCCACTGCCCAGTGCTGCCAGGTGTGGGAGAGCAACTCAGAGAGGGCTGGATGTTAGACCAAGCAAGGTCTTGAGAGTGTCACGCTCAGGGAGATGCCCAAGAGGGGACCAGCTGGCTGTTTGTGTGGGTGTTTCCTCACTGGGTAAACAGGAGAGAATCCTCCTTATCAAGGGCCTGTAGAGTAGATGGACTTAAGCTTTTGCACCCACTCTGGCTGAGCTGTAGTGTTAAGAAGGATTCTGAAGCTGTGTCCATATTTAACTGGAAACTGTGCCGTGATTATTAGTTAAGTGTCCCATGGATACAAATGGAAAGAATCGAGGCATTCACGCCAGTGATTCATCCCCCCTGTCTAGGGTCTGGTTCTCGGCTTTTTAGATCAGGAGACTCAGGGAGCCCCTTCAAAGTAGATACCCACTTCAAAAGTGGGTTCATCTATCTCCTGGAAAATGCCCCACTCCCTTTGATAGACTGTTCTGCTCAAAAACATCTTCTGACTGAGCACAGTGGCTCACGCCTTTAATTCCAGCACTTTGGGAGGTTGAGATGGGCAGATCCCTTGAGCCCAGAAGTTTGAGACCAGCCTGGGCAATATGGTGAGACCCTGTCACTACAAAAAAATAAAAACAATTAGCCAGGTATGGTGATACAAGCCTGTAGTCCCAGCTACTTGGGAGGCTGAGGTGGGAGGATCAGCTGGCCCCAGAGGTCAAGGCTGCAGTGAGCTGAGATCATGCCACTTGCACTCCAGCCTGGGTGACAGAGTGAGGTTTTGTCTAAAAAATTAAATGAATAAGTACATAAATAGGTCTCTGAGGCTGAGGACAGGCATCCTCCGGGGATGGGTGGCGCTGTCTGAAGCTGTCTTCCTCTGTCAACTAACAAGCTGGCACCAGAAATTCCAGGTGGTCTCCTGGGCACTCGGTGGACCCTCAGCTCTTCCTCGGACGGTGGTGGGCAGTCTTGGACACATCTCCTTTTTTGGATCCCGTGAGGAAGAGTGTGACCTTTCTGCTTGGCACTTGGCTCATCAGCCTGATGCGCGCATAGCGTGGTAGAGGGCCAGGTGCACAGACGTGGTGCTGTGACCCTGGGGAAAGCTGTCTCGGGGCCCACGTCTCCCATGCAGAATGAAGGGCCCCCTGCAGATCTGCTCCATGTGCCGTGGAGTTGCTGGTTCTGATTAGGGAATGGTTTCCTTTAGTCCCTCCGGGTCTAGGAATGCTCTCTGCCCACCTGGACACTGTTGGGTGAGCACAGGATAAACATCACGAAATGAAGAGTGCCATCTGCAGAGCCAAGAAGCAGAGGCTCGCTTGGAGAAGGACAGGACTGGGCCTAGAAGGGTTTGGCGGGTGGCTCTGCCTGGCCATTTGGGGACAGGAAAGGAGAGGGAACCCCAAGTAATGGGAGCGGCCTGAACAAAGGCCAGGACAGGATGTAGGGCTTGCTTGGGGCCTGGTGACTGAGGCCCCATTTGCCTGGCCGAGGGTCTGTGTTCTACTCAGGGTTGAGAAGTAGGGAAGGATTGGAGGAGGTTAAGGACTTGAGGAAAATGAGACTTTAGGAAGACTCCTGTGGCTGCTGGGGGTGGGAGGGAGAGGAGGGACTCCAGAGAGGCAGAGAACTGTCCAGGAGGGGGTGAGTCTTGGGCTGAGGGTGCTGGCTCCATGCTGGGGGTTCATACCAGAGGCCGCCAGGAGCTCAGGTGAGGGCTGCTGCGGAACTCCCCTTCCTTGGCCAGGCCTCCCTCCCCTCCTTTCCCTTCCCAGGTGTGCTGACGACTCGGTGGACTCAGGTGGTGCTGGCCTCCCGTGCTCAGGGACTGAGAGCTGGTTGCTCCTTCCTACACAGCCCCTCTTTGAGAGACTGCAAACCTACCCCCAGGCAGGCAGAGCTGGGGGACGGGGAGTCAGCCACCGATGTGCTTGAAGCAAAGCAGATGGTGCTCTTGGCTCAATGGAGGTGGCCGAAGGACATGACCTTCCCCTCCGGCCTTTCTTTTGGGAAAGGAAGTCTTTGGTAGTTTGTAGCAACTGAATAAATCTTGTCATTTTGATAAGCAGGGTCCCCGTTTCGCTCCCTGAGCGGAGAAAGCGCCACACTTCCTCCGATTGTTCCCGCTGATGGCATTTGAGTCTGTGAGGCGGGATTGCTGTCCCGGGGAGTTTAGGAAGGAAGTGCAGGCCCCGCCGCGGTGGCAGGAGAGGCGTGCGGTGCGGGCCGGTTATTCTTGGAGGTTATTTCCATCTGCTGGGCCTGGAGCAGCTCAGGTTTCTGCACCCAGGCCAGCCACGTCATGGGAGGGTGAGGCTTTGCTTTATAATAATAGACTCAGGCTCTCCGGGCCAGGCTGGCGGCTCCTTGAGGACATCAGGCCGCCCTGGCTCAGTGTCCCCCAGGACCTGGAGTGCCCCAGGAGCACCCGTTTGGTGTCCCTGCCATGCCCCAGGACCCTCCATGAACAGCAGCTCCTCACGCAGCTCCCAGAAAAAAGCAACTCCCGGGAGACTGACCCGGGAAAGCCACGTGGGGAGAGCCTGGCCGCAGCTTCCCAGAGTGGGAGGAAGAAGGTTCTGGTGACCCGAGCTGCCTGTGGTGTGGCAGCCACTGTCCTGGGAGGCAGGAGCCCCTGGCAGGGCGAGGGTTTGCTCTCTGTCTTCCGGGCACCCCATGCAGGCCCCACTCAGGCCACTTTATTTTTAAATTTCAAGTCATTTGTATGGTTATAGATGTTAGTTTGCTGGCCAACATAAATTACCACAGACTGGGTGCTTAAGTAACAAGAATGCACCGCACAGGGTCTGGAGGCTGGAAGTCATAGGCCAAGGTGCAGTCGCAGCTGGGTCCTGCTGAGGCCCCAAGGGAGGCGTGGCTCAGGACTCACCTCGGCACCCGGAGGTGGCCGGTGGTCTTTGGTGTTCCTTGGCTGGTAGAAGCATCATCCTGGTCTCTGCCTTCCTCTTCACACAGCATCTCCCTGCATGTGGGTCTGTGTCCACATTCCTTCTTTCTATAAGGACACCAGACATATTGGATTAGGGGCCCACCCTACTGTTTGACCTCATCCTAACTTGACTAATGACACCTGCAATAACCCTCTGTCCCAACAGGGTCACCTTCTGAGGTCCTGGGAGTTAGGACTTCAACACATGAATCTGGG
Organism: Homo sapiens; assembly: GCF_000001405.40. NCBI lineage: Eukaryota > Metazoa > Chordata > Mammalia > Primates > Hominidae > Homo > Homo sapiens. The sequence continues at coordinate 163,334,951 of NC_000006.12, read as the reverse complement.
GGACACAGTTCAACCTGCGACAGATGTGGCACATACGGATGGTAGAAACTTAGAAAATAGAGATGATCAGAAAATGAAGGAGTAAAAACTCTACATTTTTATGGCTCAGAGATCGTCACTGTGACTAGCTCAGGGTACATCCTCCTGAAGAAACCGTGTCTCAGAATAAGACAGAATGTGTATCCCGTTGGGTAGCCTGCTTTACACAACAGTCTCCATCTCTCTAGTCTGCCACATTTCTTCTCTAATACCTGGTCTGTGTTCAAATTGTGTGTTCTTTCTGGTAGCTTCGTTCAAACCAGTAACCAGTCCGTGGCCATGCATGTTAACTGGTGGTTGTGTCCCTGAAGTCCTCTTTTTATGGTATTGGCTTATTTTGGGCCGGCTGTGTTGCACAACCCCTGCATTGCCTGTAAACTGGCGCTCATAGCTAAACCGCTGATGGCCTCGAGTTAAACGTTGCTGGACAGAAAGCATTGCAGGGACTTCTACTTGCTGCAGGTCAGAAGACACAAAACATCTGGTTGACCTGTGTCAGGGTTTTGCCAGGTCCAGGCGTTCCTGCACTGGGTGGGAAGTGGAACAAGACAACCTCGACTGGCCCTTGCAACACTGAGGATTTTCAGCTTGGAAGTTTCTGATAGTTGTCTTTTCTGGTGGCAGCGGCATTGGGAGAGGGGGCGTGGCAGGGTCTTCGGATCGGTCCAGGCTACTGCCCTTGAGGATTGCACTGAGGGACTGTCCCAAAACGTCCAGTTCTAAGAATAGTGTTCCTTGGATTCCTGACATTTTGCCCACAAATGTGGAGTGAGGGGCACGTGCTTTCCTCACTGCAACTGCGTCTCTCACATACAGCAGGCTGCGATCACACGGGGTCAGCTGCACTCTCGCCAGTCCTCCCTCCTACACCGCTTCCGGGAAGGACCATGACTTTTTTTATCCAACATTTTATGGTTTATTTTTCTTTGGAGGAACAATTTACCAGGAAACACAAATTTCTTGTGTATATTTGCTGGTGATTTGACAAATGCAAACACTTTTATAACCCAAACTTCTGTCAAGTTCTAGAACATTCCCATCACCCCATAAAGTTATCACTCCATAAAGTTCCCCGGCGGCCTGCCCCAGTCAATCTCTGACCACACAGAAGTAACATCATCACTGTTCCTGTTTTTTTCCACGATAGACTATTTTGTCTTTTCTAGAACTTTGTGTAGATGGAATCTGCAGCACGCTGTCTTACTCAGCGAAGTTCTGGGTTTCATCCACGGTGGTGCAGGTGTCCCTAGCTTGCCGCTTTTTCTTTTTTTTGAGATGGAATTTCGCTCTTGTTGCCCAGGCTGGAGTGCGATGGTGCAGTCTTGGCTCACTGCAACCTCTCCCTCTTGGGTTCAAGCAATTCTCCTGCCTCAGCCTTCCAAGTGGCTGGGACTACAGACATGTACCACCATACACGGCTAATTTTGTAATTTTAGTAGAGGTGATGTTTCACCATGTTGGTTAGGCTGGTCTCGAACTCCTGACCTCAAATTATTCGAGTGCCTTGGTCTCACAAAGTGCTGGGATTATAGGCGTGAGCCACGGCACCCCTGGCCTAGCTCACTGACTTTTATTCCTTTATTGTGGGAACATACTGTGGTTTCTTCATTCCTTCTCCTATTGACGGACACTTGGGCTGTTTGAACATTTTTGCACAAGTAATTTTGTGTATGAATGTTTTCCTTTCTCTTGGATAAATATCCAGGAGTGAAATGAGTGGGTCATAGTTGAAATGATGGCAGCATTTTACTCCCCCACAACAATGTCTGAGTCCTGGTGTGACCTAGTCTATTTGTTGCCTTTCTGGAGAATGTGTGGTGTATTTTAATGTGGTTGACTTGCATTTCCCTGATGATTTATGAAAACAAGAACTTTTTTAGCATGCTTCTTGGTCATTTGTATATATTCTTTTGTGACCCTAACTTTTTAAAATTAATTTTTATTTCTCTTCCTTAATAAGCATTGTGAAGTGGCATTGCACTTAGTCAAATAGGCATTCAACACATGAATTGAATTTCTTCCCCATCCTCACCCTTCAGTGAAGACTGTCCAAGATATGCGAACTGATACAAAGAGAACTGTTTGAGAAAAAGCTGAGTCATGCCCCTTGATCACGTTGTACCTGAGTTCCACTCTCTGGGACGCTGGTAGCCTCATCATGAAGCAGATGTGGGAGGCCAGGCGGCGAGGTGCTGCTGGCCTGTGCAGTGTGCACGATATCCTCTAAGTGGGGTTGGGGGTGGTGCTCATGCATCAGGGGATGGGCATACTGGACGTAGGGGAAAGGGCAGAAAAATAGCCCTTTGCTCTAAAGAGCTCAGCTTATGGGTTTTGGTGGGGAAGGGAGTGAAAGCACAGGGATCACAGCTGAGACCAGGGAGGAAATGAAGCACAGCCTCCAGAGTTGGATTAGTGGCCAGGGGGGAATCGTGACACCAGGGAGCTTCTTTAGGTGTCAGGCAGAGGATCTCCTTCTTTCAATGGAGAATGACATTTGTCACCCCACTTAGCAGAGGCTCCTTTGAGCCAGCTCAGATGGTTTACAAGAAAACCACTCAGAGCCACCAGGTACCCAGGGGCACTCATGGCCCGGGTCCAGCACGGCCTGGCCCTGCATCCCCTCTCCCTGCCCTGGGGAGCAGGGGCAGTGGGCACTCGGACTCAGTTTCTCTCTATTATTATTAATATTTGAAAAAAAAATTTGAGGCAGGGTCTTGCTCTGTTGCCCAGGCTGGAGTATAGTGATGTGATTTCAGCCACTATAGCCTTTGCCTCCCAGGCTCAAGTGATCCTCCCACCTCAGCCTCCAAGTAGCTAGAACCACAGGTGCACATCGCCACCCCTGGCTAATTTTGTATATTTTTTGTAAAGACGAGGTTTTGCCATGTTGCCCAGGCTGGTCTCAAACTCCTGTACTCAAGTGATCTGCCCATCTCCCAAAGTGCTGGGATTACAGGCGTGAGCCACCATGCATGGCCTTCTTCTTCCTTTATCAGCCCCATTTCTGTCCTTCCCTGGGTCGGCCCCGCCTGTTTCCACCCACGTGCTTCCCTTCATTTGCAGTAACTCATTGCATTGTTGGAGGACTTCACTGCTCTGTTTCTGTGGACCAATAGCTGCCCCGGAATTCCACTAGAGATCCTTGGACTAGGCCACAGAGATGGAGAAAGAGGAAAAGGAGATAAAAAGAAGCTGGATTAAGAAAAGGGTCAGGAAGAAGGGGTGAATGAGAAGGGGAGGAACAAAGGGACTCAGATGATTTCTGCAGAGTTTGGGGTAGCTCCCGTGAGAGGTGTCTGCTTCCACCCCGGGTTAGGTGCTCCTTCTTGGGTTAAGTGCTCCCCCCAGGTTAGGCACTTCTCCCTGGGTTAGGCGCTCCCCTCTGGGTTAGGCGCTCCCCCAGGGTTAAGCGGTCCCCACTGAGTAAGGTGCCCCTCCCTGGGTTAGGCGCTCCCTCCTGGGTTAGGCGCTCCCCCTGGGTTAGGCGCTCCCCCCTAGGTTAGGTGCTCAGGGCCCTGCCAGCAAATTGAGGCTGCTGCTTCCCACCCCCGGAGACACCACCTTCCCTCTCAGTGCAGGTTCACAGCATGCTGGGCAAGCAGCACCTGGTCAACACATGAGGGGATATGATAAAAACAGGAGCTTATAATCCAGAGATCCCTTGCAACACATCTCTGCTTATGCAGCGGGGACACCATTCGGTAAAGATGCCCCCCACATCTGTCTCATTTCTCACTGGATCAAACTACTCTCCTTATTCCTTTAGAATCAGGTGCTGTCGAAGACAGAGAATCAACCTAAATGGCCATCAGTGGTAGACTGGATAAAGAAACTGTGGTGTACATACACCGTGGAATCTTTCCCAGCCATAAAAAAATGAGATGGTGTCTTTTGCAGGGAAGTGGATGGAGCTGGAGGCCATTACTCTTAGCAAACTAATGCAGGAACAGAAAACCAAATACCACATGTTCTCATTTGTAAGTGGGAGCTAAGTGATGAGAACACATGGACACAAAGATGGGAACAGCAGACACCAGGGCTACTTTAGGGCGGAGGGTGGGAGGAGGGAGAGGATCAGAGGAGATACCTACTGGGTACCAGGCTTATTACCCGGAGGATGAAATTACCTGTGCACCAAAGCCCTGTGACATGCAGTTAACCGATATAACAAACCCGCGCAGGTACCCCGACCCTAAAATAAGAGTTATAATAAAGGTTTATCGTATTCAAATAAGAATCAGGTGCTCTGATCCTGCCTGACTCAAACTTGAAACTGTCCCCACAAAGCAGCAATTCAAATTTTAAGATTTTCCAGAGAAAATAAGTTGGAAAATGCAAGGAAAATAATGAGGAAGATGGGATTCCACTCGGTGTGACAGAGCCAGCATGGGGTCCCACGCTGCGGGTCATTAAGGACAGAAGTGAGGCCTCTTAGGGATGCCTGCATAGGGCAGAAAGGATTAGAGGGAGAAGAGAAAGGTCTCATGGGCTAGAAAGCGAGTAAACATGGAAAGAACCTCCTGGCGTGGTGGCCATGGCAAGCGGGGCTCCCAGCAGAGAGGAGCTGTGAGAAAGAGCCAGGGCCCTTTCAGCCTTGGAGAAAGCAGCCTTGACAGAGGGGCCCCAGAACACTGGGAGGGGGCGAGGCTGGCACAGGATGCTCTCCACAAGGGCCACACTCCAGGGTGACTCATTCCCAGGCCCCTGCGGACAACCTTGGGCCAAGTCCCATTTCCTCCCTGAGAAACGCTTTAGCCAGGGGAGGGGGGTGACCTGCAGCATCTCTGTGGGGCGATCCCACTCCAGGAGTCAGCTCCCTCCCCTGTGGAGAGTGCCCCAGATTGGAGTCGCCTTGGCTGTATTTACTCCCCTCCAAAGGCCCACGGAGGCAGATGGTGGTAAAATGCTACGTGGGAGAAGTAGCACCTGATTCTCTAGATCACGGATCAGAGTCCCAACTCCAGTGCTTGGGGGAAACTTTAGAGATCAAGCCTGGCCCCACCATTCATTTTACAGACAGAGAAACTGGGGCCCACAGAGTTGAAGTTACTTGGCCAAGACCTCCCAGCTGTTCAGTGGCAGCGCGTGGCTGGAAACTCTTGTTTCCTAGATCCTAAGTCAGAGTTGGACCCTCACACCACCTGGAAGGAAAGGGACACAGAGAAATGGGAACCAGGGGACACTTCTGAGCCAGGAGGGTGCTGTCCTGCTTTTCTGGGAATAGGGGGGAAGGGGAGAAAGGAAAGTGCCAAGGAGGGATTCTGGCTGCAGGGGGAGTGGGGGAGGGATTCTGGCTGCAGGGGGAGTTGGGGAGGGATTCTGACTGCAGGGGGAGTGGGGGAAGGATGCTGAGTGCAGGGGGAGTGGGGGAGGGATTCTGGCTGCAGGGGGAGTTGGGGAGGGATTCTGACTGCAGGGGGAGTTGGGGAGGGATGCTGTGTGCAGGGGGAGTTGGGGAGGGATTCTGACTGCAGGGGGAGTTGGGGAGGGACGCTGAATGCAGGGTGAGTGGGGGAGGTTTTCTGGCTGCAGGGGGAGTTGGGGAGGGATGCTGACTGCAGGGGGAGTTGGGGAGGATGCACACTGCAGGGGAGTGGGGATGGGATGCTGACTGCAGGGTGGAGTAGGGGAGGGATGCAGAGTGCTGGATGGCGTGGAGATGAGATATGCTGACTTCAGAGGGAGTGGGAGCTGAAGATGTCCTTGCCTCCCTTTGCTTCGGCCTTTGGATAAACTGCTCTTTACAGTTTTGCTAACTTTTTTTTTTCTTTTGAGACTGAGTCTCATGCTATTGCCCAGGCTGGAGTGCAGTGGTGCCATCTTGGCTCGCTGCAATCTCTGCTTCCCTGGCTTAAGTAATTCTCATGCCTCAGCCTCCTGAGTAGCTGGGATTACAGCCATGAGCCACCATGCCTGACTAATTTTTGTTTTTTTTTTTGTAGAGATGGGATTTTGCCACGTTGGCCAGGCTGGTCTCAAACTCCTGACCTCAAGTGATCGGCCCACCTTGGCCTCCCGAAGTGCTGGGATTACAGGTGTGAGCCACTGCGCCTGGTGCAGTTTAGCTAACTTATTGAACTGTTCGATTTGCTTGCGTGCACTCAGGGAATGTTAGGGTTGTGAGGGACTCTGGGGTTGGGTGGGTCAACTTCCTGCCCAGTATGGAAGTCCCTGAGCATTTCTGACTGTGGCCATTAACTCCTCTTGAAGCTTCCGGAGAGCAGGAACGTCTCCCCCGTCCTAGGCATTGAAGCAGCCCTGAGTCCGGCTTAACTGTCACACAGGACCTTGGGCGTGCACCCTGCGGCTGCGGGTGGGATTCTGTTCCTGGAGGCTGCAGAACACACCTGGCCTTGCTGCACCAGCTCCAGGCTGGCGTGTGGTGGACAGATGGAGTGGGCAAAGCACTTCACTTCCCCGAATGCAGGCTTTCTCCTCTAGGATGGAAGCGATGCCGGCCTTACAGTGATCCAGGAGTTAAGAAGAAATTACTTAGGCAGATAGTGAGGGTACGGAAGTCCTCAGTAAGGTTTTCCTTTTCATGTAAAGCAGGCCCAAATTAGTTTCCTTTCTAACAAAGAGCAGCCTGTAAAATCGAGCTGCAGACATAGATGCCGGCAGTTGTGCCAGTCAAGTTCAAGACGGTGACTCCATCTTCCCTTCTCTTTGTCAGCCACGTGCACAGTAAGGGGCAGACAAGATGGCCTGGCCAACAGGAAAGTTCATTTGCATAATAAGATTAGGGTGGGGCGGCCAGGCTTCCCCCTGTGCTATATAAACGTCATACCTGATGGGACCAATCTGTAAGCCCTAATGTAAACCAGACACCGCCTCCTCAAACCTGACTATAAAATCCAGCGCATCTGCTGGCCAGCCTTTTCCTCTGGGAAGTCCCCTCTCTCTCACTAGAGAGAAAGCTGTTTTCCTTTCTCTTTCTTTCTCTCTCCTTTGCCTATTAAACCTCCATTCCTAAACTCCTCATGTGTGTCCATGTCCTCAGTTTTCCTGGTGTGAGACAATGAACCCCGGGTATTTACCCCAGACAACATAGCTTCTTCAACAGGCTGTTGTGAGCAGCAATAACAATCTCCACAGAGGGCCCAGGGCGTCATGTTGGCCTCTGGCCTCTGCCCACCCTGTCCACCCCCACATCCCAGGCCCTGGGTTGCTCCTGAGGCTGCTTTAGGCTCCTCTCCCGCTGCACTGGGGCTGTGGCCCTGCAAGCAGCCAGGAGGCTCAAACCCAGCAGAAGAGGAAATGGGAGGGCAGGGAAGACCCAGACACCCAACCACAAAGAGACCGCCATGACAGAGCCATGACTGTGGCAGGTGGGTAGGGTGCACAGGCCGGGGACCCCCTGTGTCCTTCCCCCACTGAGGGCACTGCTCAGGAGGGGGTCCTCACGTGTTGGGCCTGTCTCACATTGCTGTAAAGAAACACATGAGACAGGGTAATTTATAAAGAGAAGAGGTTTAATTGGCTTGCAGTTCTGCAGGCTGTGCAAGAAGTATGGTGCCGGCATCTGCTGGGCTTCTGGGGAGGCCTCAGGGAGCTTTTACGCATGGCGGGAGGGGAAGTGGGAGCAGGCAGGTCACATGGCAGGGGCAGGTGTAAGACAGGGGAGGGGCTACACACTTAAAGGACCAGATCTTTCTAGAACTCACTCACCATGGCGAGGACAGCACCAAGCCATGAGGAATCTGCCCCTGTGATGCAAGCACCTCCCACCAGGCCCCACCTCCAACACTGGGGGTTATATCTCAACATAAGATTGGATGGGGACAAATCTCCAAACAATATCACCTCACTTCTGGGGGTTATGTCTCAACATAAGATTGGGTGGGGACAAATCTCCAAACAATATCACCTCACTTCTGGGGGTTATATCTCAACATAAGATTGGGTGGGGACAAATCTCCAAACAATATCACCTCACTTCTGGGGGTTATGTCTCAACATAAGATTGGGTGGGGACAAATCTCCAAACAATATCACCTCACTTCTGGGGAGGGGAAGATGGCTAGCATGGCCACGGTGAGCTTCTATCCTGAGTCTGGTCAAGGAAATGTGAGCCAATCTCACCAGAACCCTCTAAGCCCAGGACAAGGGGTGTTCTCAACATACACCAACCATGCAAGTAGGGTTCCTTGGGTCGCTTTGAAGGAAAAAAATTACAACTACAACTTTCATAAAGAAGCTAAAAATAAACAGATTAAATCTCATCTGTGATTAAATCCCAGTGATCCCTCACCATGGTTTTTGTCTGTGGTTCTTGGGAAATTAAAAAGTGTTTGTCCAGTCACTGATGATCAATCAGGTTTTAAAAACCAGGAGTAACTGAGAGGTCTCTGAAAAAAGAATGTAACGTTGGAACACGGGAGACAGAAGGAAGTCAGGTGTGGCCAATGGCAGTGAGGAGTTGTGGGGTGTTTGTGAATAAAAGGAGCCACACATCTTTGAAGGATGGACTGAACCAGGCTGACATTTTCACCAATAAAATGTGGAGGAAACAAACTTCAAAGTAATAGGGTCTATGTTCACGGTGGCCAAAAAGAAATGCTTTCTGGTATTCTGTGCTAACACCCAACATCACTTCTCAGGTGTGTAATGTGGAAAACATTAAAGTTTCATGCCTTGGTTTTCAGAGCCATAAACAAACTTAAACAAACGGGTTCCATGGTGTGCATGGAACCTGGTCAGGGCTGTGACATCTGCGTGACACTGGAAACTGGTGCCACGTCACAGAAGGCAGGCTGGTCACAGCGTTGTTTCCCCTGATGACCCGAATGGCCACATCATCTAAGATGAACTTGTCTGGGATTTCAGAGTGGAGTGTATAGGTTTCTGTTCACATTGTTTTGTTTGTTTTTGTTTTTGTTTGAGATGGAGTCTCGCTCTGTCGCCCAGGCTGGAGTGCTCACTGAAACCTCTGCCTCCTGGGTTCAAGTAATTCTTGTGCCTCAGCCTCCCGAGTACCTGGGATTACAGGTGCGTGCCACCATTCCCGGTTAATTTTTGTATTTTTAGTAGGGGGTTTCACCCTGTTGACCAGGCTGGTCTTGAACTCCTGGCTTCAAGCTAGCCACTCGCCTTGGCCTCCCAAAGGGCTGGGATTACAGGCATGAGCCACTGCGCCTGGCCTCTGTTCACCTTGTTTATTCTCTATTTATTTCATATTTTATATTTATATGTTTCACTTATCTTCTATTGAAAGATTACGTGTCAGCACAGTATTAAGTGATTTTCACAAAATACCTCCAATGCCTCCCTCCCATTTTGCAGATGGAGAAAGTAAGGCTGGAGAGTAAAGGCAGAGCTGCAGTTTAGTTGGCCTTGAATCCTAACCAAAGGGTTTTACTCTCCACCTCACACCGGTCTCTAGCCCTCATTTTGTGTTTTAGATTGGAGGCCAGTTTCTCTGCTCTCAAGGCTCGCCTAGACTATCTGTGTATCCAAATGACACCACCTCTTTTTAACTCCAATCCACCATGCTGTCACAAAGCCCCTGAGATCTTTGTCTACTTGTTTTACAGCCCTGCTGTGAACAAACATTGGGATCCAGATTTTAACTTTTTTTTTTTTTTTTGGAAAAACAGTACAGTGTTTGCTCTTTAGTGGGAACTACGCTCCCAGTCCTGCAGGCTGGCATGGTGCAGTGAATTTCCACATGCCTTCACCCCTGTGAGCTCCACAGCAACCACAGCCGGGAGGGCGGGCCTTCCTCCGGCAATGAAGGGTGGCCTCCCTTGCGGCTGAAGAAACAGAAGCCGTCCACACATTTTCACTGCTTTGCAGATTCGTACAGATCTTTTCCAGAATAAAGCATTATTCGGCCAGGACGCCTCAGCCTCTTCTGTGAGATGTGGTGGTATTTGTCAGCTATGTGGCCTTTGCCCTGCTGGTGACATGAGTAGCTATTGAAACAGGTCTCCAAGACTCAATCTCTTCCTTCTCAATAAAGCATTTTAATCAATTTGGTTGTTTGTTTGGGTCATATTTGCTGAGCCCTGAATTGATGGAAAAATCACTCCAGCAGGACGTAGCCTCTCCCCTCTCCACAAACAAAGATCCACCACATAATATTAGATTGAGACAAATATTGTCACAGTTCAGGAATGTTTTGCAGTTGGGTTCTCTCTAAACTGCAAACATTCTTTTAATATGGGGAATTCCTATGAGAGCTGTAAAAATCCTACTCATATGACATATTACCCCCTCTTGAATGAAGCCTACTGAAGAGTTATTAAAAATTTACCTTGTTGTCAATAAAGTTCTTTATGGGACATTTTTCTGGCTGCATTTTAATGTCATGTTCGCTGCCCCAGATGTATGAGGAAGGAGACAAAAAGGCCATTTAAAGCTCTGGTTCTAGAATGCCCCTATTATGCATTTGATGAAATCAAGTGGCATGTGGGTTTGCTGTATGTGGACATAGTTTTGGCTGTAGGTTGTTTTCACGAACCCACAGAGACAGAAACCTGCGGCAATGGAGAAAATGCTAATACAGACATCTTACTTCAGTGTCTGGCAAACAAGATTATACGTAAGTCATTTTAGAAGAACTGATTCTGATTATTTGAATTTTGAGCCTCCACTAGAAAGATTTCTTTCTGTATTAATGGAAATGATTCATTTTTTAAAAAAGTCTCAAATGTAAAGACAACAATTACATCGAATATTTCGAAATGCCATGTTGAACAGTGAAACTTCTAAGCCTTTATTTTATTATTATTATTTTTTTGATAACACTTGAAGCAAAGATAATAGGATTTTACAATATTGGCTTTTTACTGATGGACTGAAAGCACATTTTTCTAAGGTACACCTATTATTCTTGTTCTAGACTGAGGACGATGTAGACGTCAGCTTCCCTGACGAGGGAAGCTGCAGCTTTCTGATGATTCCTGAAGCCTACATTCTATTAATTTCCCCGAAGAGCCCTATTGCCTAATGGAACATTGTGAGAATGGCCAGTCTGGAAAGCAGGATCAGTGGAGCTGGCTTCTGGCTCACTGGCTTTCAGCTGAGCCTTCCAAATGGCTGGGAATGAACATCCAGTTAGAAGCCTCGGTTTGGAACAGTGGTTCTCAGACTTCATGGTGTGTGACAGTCACTGGGGAACTTGTCCAAACACAGATTGACAGACCCCATCCCAAAGTTTCTGATTCAGCGGCTCTAGGGAGGGCCCTAAGAACACGAGCTCCTCTTCCCAAGCTCCCAGGTGACGCTGAGGTTGCTGCCCCGGGAGCCCACTTTGAGAACTGCTGATCTAGGGTGTGCTGGGGTAACTCTGGCTGTCAGAGGGGTCAGGACACTTGGTCTCCTTCTCTTTGGTCTCACTGAGAATGTGAATGTGAATGGCCTTTTGAGGCCACTTGCACTGAGTCCTCTACAGGGCACACTGGACGGCGGGGGAGCGTCTGGAAGGGGTCTGCACACCGGCTTGCAGCCTCAGTGATGCTCATCTAGTGCGGGTCCTGCGTGGTCCCCAGAGGAACCCAGTGAGAAATCCGGAGGAGACGGTGAGTGTGTCACGTGGCGTCCACACCAGACCCCTGCTTAGGCTGCAGCTCACACGAAGGATGTTGGTCTGTCTTTGAACAGACAGGTGGGCCCTGCATTTCCGGGAGCTTTGGAGGGTATTTAAAATACTTTCCTCTGACTTGGTTTAAACAGAATAATGAACACCTTTCTCCACGAGAGCAGCATCTATTTGTGTTTTCCAAAGCCTGAGTGTCTCCAAGGAATCTTACCTTGGGCTGATAATTCTTCCCTCAAGACAGCAGTACCTTTGACACAGGACACGCTCCAAAGCCCAGCGCCCCTACCTAAGTCAGACAGGAGGGCAAAGCCCAGCGCCCCTGCCTAAGTCAGACACGAGGGCAAAGCTCAGCGCCCCTGCCTAAGTCAGAGATGAGGGCAAAGCCCAGCGCCCTGCCTAAATCAGACAGGAGAGCATAGCCCAGCGCTCCTGCCTAAGTCAGACAGGACGGCAAAGCCCAGCACCCTGCCTAAGTCACACACGAGGGCAAAGCCCAGGAGTATCACTCTGTTGCCCAGGCTGGAGTGCAGTGGCGGGATCTTGGGTCACTGCAACCTCTGCCTCCTGGGTTCAAGAGATTCTCCTGCCTCAACCTCCTGAGTAGCTGGAATTACAGGCGAGCACCACCATGCCTGGGTAATGATTGTATTTTTAGTAGAGACGGGATTTCACCATGTTGGCCAGGCTGGTCTGGAACTCCTGACCTCAGGTGATCCACCTGCCTCAGCTTCCCAAAGTGTTGGGATTACAAGCGTGAACCACCGGGCCCAGCCAACAAATGTCTTTTGAAGGCTGACTAGGCCCAGGGCGTGCTTCCTGGCGAGGGAGATGTCATAGTGAAAGGCGCTCCCTGCTCTCACAGAGCTCACGCCCTAGGGTAGAGACACACGGTAAAGAAATAAGTGAAAAATCAAGCATATAGGTACTGCAGTCAGACACTCGTCCATGTTTTGAAGCAAGTAAAGCCATAGGCGACAGAGATTAAGAGGTATGGCGTCAAGGAAGGCCCTTCTGAGGTAGCGACACTTAGCAGAGACCACAGTGAGGCCAGGGGAGGGAGGAGGCTCAGTGAACACTGTGGGGGGCGTCCAGGCACCGCTCTGTGGGGAGGATATGCTGGGCCTGCTGCTGGAGCAGGGACGAAGCCAGCACAGCCTCTGCCCACAGAGGGGCCCAACACCACCAGGAAGAAACAGCTCAGGAGGAACCAGGGCCACATCCTTCAGGCCGCACATCACCCGCAGCAGAGATCTGGAATGTGCCCCAGCTGGGAGGCAGAAGCCGTTGGAGGGTTGAGAGCATGGGGACCTTATTGGCGTTTAAAGGGTCACTGACTTCCGGGTAGAGGATCCGGCCACCCCTTGCAAGGTTGGGGGTCAGCTGGGGGAGCCAGGGACCTGGACTAGAGTGAGGACGAGGGGCTGGGACTTGGTCAGATGCAGATCTTGAAGGTGTCGTAGACAGGATTTGTACTGGACTGGGTGCAGACGTGGAAAAAAAGGAGGATGAATCCCGGCATTTTGGTCCCCGTGGTGACGTGAGCTCCTGTTCACTGAGCTGGAGCCCTCCGCGGGGAGAGGGTGCGGGGTCGGAGAGTGGCGGGAGTCAGGTGGGTCCATGCATTCGGTTTGGATCGATCTCTTCGGCATCCTGGGGGAAATGCCCAGCAGGCGCTGGGGAAGTTGAGGCCAGAGAGCAAATGTGAGAATCGGCCATGCACAGACGGCATGTGAATCCGTGGGATTGGTCGGGTCACCTGGTGGAAATAGAGGTGAGGCAGAGGCTTGAGTTGGGAGGCCTGCGGTGTTTAGAGGTGAGGAAGAGGAGAAAGACGCAGCAAAGGTGACTGAGAAGGAGCAGTCCGTCTCAGCATGCATGCACCTCCCACACAACACGGCCTGTCCTTACTGCAGTGGCCCTCAGGCTCCCTGGGTGGTTGTCACTAAGCAGGTGGACGGTACATTCTCTCTTCTCCTTCTCTCAATGGAAGCACTGCCATTTCTTAGATGGAAATTACAACATCTGTAAATGCCCTCAAATTATCTTCAAAATACTGTATGTCATGTGCACTTGTCTGGGTAGAGGGTGCAGAGTTTCCAACAGATTCTTAAGGCAATGCTAGGGAATATTTCCCAATAAATTCTAAATAAAAAAGAAGCTAAAGTAATAAATTTTTACACTTATCAAGCACAGGAAGAGAACAAATCCTTTCACCCAGATTTAAACTTACAGAAACTTGGCAAAGTAAAAATGAATAAAGAATCCAAGTACCTTACAAATATTCCCACTGGGGAAAGCAAAAGTCAACCTCTGTAACAGAGAAATGCAAATCAATCAATGTGCAAAGGGCACTTTCCACCACATATCTGTCCATGTCATTAACTACTGATAGGAGAATTGGGTAATTGCCAAGTTACTTGTAAGAAGAACCGAGCTATATCAGTAGTGAGATCTAAAATTGGATAAGATTGTGCAAGCAAAAGGAATAGAATCATTTCTTATTGAGGCAACCATGGAAAGAATCTTAGAAAGTTTCTTCTATAGCTACTACACGCTTCTTTAATATCATCACCAGCACTTGAACTGGAGAGCAAACTAGGGTTTGCTAGTTAGGGTTTCTTCAAAACAAAGCTTGACTTCTGTTTTGGATTTCCATGCAGCTTGCATGCATCCACACATTTAAGACTGCAAAAGAAACAAAGATGATGGGAGATATTTTTAGAATCGGATTCAACACCGGTACATATCTTCCTGTTGCAAAGTGCTCTTGATTAAGCCAAGTATACTTGTATTATTGTCTTCTCATTGCAGGACAGAGAGGAGGATGACTTCCTTTTGTATTACAACGTCATGATTACAAATAATCATAATAGAGTGCCCATTTTAAAGTGGCCTTTCCCTCCAAGCACACAGGAGACTCCCTCAGATTCCCTAGGAAACCAAAGAAATACTGAATCTACTCCACAAAAGGTAATAGAAACTTTAAGTCCCTTCAAACAGGCGATTTTAACAAAAATGGGGTTGGTTGTGCTTGGGAAAGCTCTTTTTTCTTGGTCTGAAAAAGAATATGGTGTTTTACGAGCTGCCTAGCAAGCCTCCAGTGGACACCTGTGTGGAGGTGGCAGATCCTGGAGAATGGGTACCGCCCTGGTTACCTCTGTGTGACTAGGCACTGCTGACCCACAAGCTGTGTGACCGCCAAGGTCCTTCCGGGCCCTGGATGTTTGGTGAACATGAATCGACGTGGTGTGAATGGGAACTTGGTCAAAGTCAGTTTCACTTTGCTGAAAGCAAAGCCTCCTTATATCTTGGAAGTGTCACATTTTGGACAAACTTTGATCAATGGGTACATTTCTAATGAAGGAAGCTTTCGTAGAGGGAATTGTTTGGAAAGCATTTGAGGCTTTCTGATTCCATTTAAAATCCTATTGGAGAATCAAAATTTATATTTAGAAAAATATCCACAGGGCATTTCCCCAGGTATAGTACTCCTTTGAAAGAAGATCCATCTTTGAGCCTCCCAGCTTTTGCTTGCAAAAGGCTCGTGATGAACTTCTCAAAATAACCAACAGAAGTAAAACAGGCAGCAGTGCATGTTGAAACAGACTTAAAACTCTTTAGTTTTAGCTTCTCTAAATTAGCAGTCTGAGATGTCCCACGACCTATACTGAAACTTCGCTAGAGATCCATGGAGGTCAACCCCAGAAGGACTTAAGGGTTTTTTTTGTTGTTGTTGTTGTTTAAGATATCATCTTCAGCTTTGAAAATAATATTTCCTAAGGATGTAACCATTTCACAGAGTTTTTTAACTCTCTCTCTCTCTCTCTCTATGTATATATATATATATATATATATATATATATATATATATATATATATATATGTATATATTTGAGATGGAGTTTTGCTCTTGTTGCTCAGGCTGGAGTGCAATGATGCAGTCTCAGCTTACTGCAACCTCTGCCTCCAGGTTTAAGCAATTCTCTCACCTCAGCCTCCCGAGTAGCTGGGATTACAGGCTGCTGACACTACGTCTGGCTTATTTTTTGTATTTTTAGTAGAGACGGGGTTTCACCATGTTGGCCAAGCTGGTCTCAAACTCCTGACCTTGGGTGATCTACCTGTCTCAGCCTCCCAAAGTGCTGGGATTACAGGTGTGAGCCACCACGCCCAGCCTGAACGCCATATTTTTGACTGACATTTCTCATGTAGAGTCAGGCCATAAAAATCATGTGCCATTCTTCCCACCCGATGGGCAGGGAAGGATACTCTCATAGCGAGCAGTGTGCCCATGGAGATGACTTCCAGGAGGGTGTGTGGGCTGCAAATCCTGGCATCCGTCTCACTTGGGCCTGTTGGGGGCCAGAGACCACCCACCCCGGCCAATGAGGGCTCAGCAGACATTAGATCCCGGCTCTCCTGGGGGACCACACGATGACGGAGCACCTGTTTTCTCCAGGTACTTGGTTGGCTGCTTCCCCAGGAACATCCCTCCATCCTCACGGGTATCCCGCCATGGACCTCGGGGAGCCCTGGACAAACATGCATGTGTGCGACGCTTGTAACAAACCTGCAAGGTAGACCTCATACAGCCCAGTTTTGGAAGAGGGAGTTGAGTTTTAGAGCATTTACATAATTTGCCCAAGGTCACAAGACAGCTACTCAGTGGTAGAAAGATACTTCAAACGCAGTTCTGCTGGGCTCCCACTCCTGCACCAGAACCATTATGCTGTAGTATCTATCATCGTGTCCTCGCAGTGACCTGGGAAGAGAGGCTGTACTGCAGGCGAGGAAAGACAAAGTGACTCGCTCCAGGCTGTCCAGCTCCTGAGTGACCGGCTCAGCCTTCCCACCCAGCTCCCCTACCCTGGCGTCCAAGATCTCATTCCTTGCCTCCCTCTTAACTGACTTGAACACCTGAATGGTGTCTTCGAGTAAATGTAACAGTCATAAGAGGACAAACAAAAACCCTTGCCTAATACTCAGTCCCCAGTATTTCCCACTTTTCATCATTCCGTTCCTTTAGCTGTCTTAGAAAGGTGGTTTCAGTGTATAAATGTAGCAGGTGGAAGAAGCTGTTGTCTTGCTCAGAGGCCGGAAAGCTGCTGACATTTCCTCCTTCTCTGTTGAGTTAATCAGAAATTATTTGGCAGGAGACCCGGGTATTATTTTAGAAGGCAGACGTAGGTGGGCTGACCATCGGAAAAAGCAGTCTTTTCTAATTCTATTAAAATAACAAAAATGTGGGTTTTGGGGTTTTATTTTGCCTTTTAATTTCCAGAGAACATGATACTATCTATATAGTTATTTTGGGTTTTTGCAAAATTATCTTCTTTTCACAAGAAACTCACCATTGCACGTAAGAAGCATCATATTGTCTGAGGAGTTCTCAGATATATATATCGCTCTGCCCGGGTAGAGAGTAGTCATGTTTTGTACTTGTTTTTCTTTGAAATAAAAGTCTGACAGGTATCAGAAACTCTGGTAGCACTTTTCATAGGTTACCCCTACAGCTTATAATTCCGCAGCACGCAGGGGACATCCCCACTTCACAGCTGAGGCGATGTGAGTTTCAGAGAGGTTCAGTATCTTGCTCAAGGCAGCAGAGCAAATAAGTGACAGAACTCGTCAATGAAGCCTGATTTTATTTTATTTATTTTATTTTTTTGAGACAGAGTCTTGCTCTCTCACCCAGGCTGGAGTGCAGTGGCACAAACTCAGCTCACTGCAACCTCCACTTTCCGGGTTCAAGCGATTCTCCTGCCTCAGCCTCCTGAGTAGCTGGGATTACAGGCGTCCGCCACAAGGCCTGGCTAATTTTTGTATTTTTTAGTAGAGACAGGGTTTCACTATGTTGGCCAGACTGGTCCCGAACTCCTGATCTTAGGTGATCTGCCCACTTTGGCCTCCCAAAGTGCTGGGATTACAGGCATGTGAGCCACCGTGCCTGGCCAAAGCCTGATGTTTTAATTCCAAAGTTAGGGCTCTTGGCTAAGTGGCCAGGTCTTCTTGCTCCTCTACCAGGCAGTTTTCATGAGTATAATGAAGAATCAGCAGCCAGAGCTGCCAACAGAGCCGGGTCAGAGCCATTCCAGCACCAGCCTTCAAAGGCGCCAACAAGCCACGGTCCTTCTAACTAATAACCTTATGGACTTTGGTGTTCCTTTTGATTGTTTCACTGACGCCAGCTGATGGATGCAATTGAATGTCATAGTTTGCAGAATAACCTGCCTTAATCTGTGGATGTCTACTTCTATCTGTGCCTTTACCAAATATTATGCATCAAAGTCAATTTGTCGGCCGGGCGCGGTGGCTCATGCCTGTAATACCAGCACTTTGGGAGGCCGAGGAGGGCAGATCACCTGAGGTTGGGAGTTCAAGACCAGCCTAACCAACATGGAGAAACCCTGTCTTTACTAAAAATACAAAATTAGCCAGGCATGGTGGCGCACACCTGTAATCCCAGCTACTTGGGAGGCTGAGGCAGAAGAATCGCTTGAACCCAGGAGGCAGAGGTCATGGTGAGCTGAGATCACGCCATTGTACTCCAGCCTGGGCAACAAGAGCAAAACTCCATCTCAAAAAACAAAAAACAAAGTCAGTTTGTCTTATCCAATCACGCCTCTCCCTTCACCGTAGAAAATGCTTACAGAAACAGGACGGTAGCTCTTTAGATGCTAGATTGCACATGCTGAGACAGTAATAAGGGGAAATGAACGATGAGCTCATTTTCAAAATTGGTGTTTGCCTTTAGAAACTTATGCCTTAGATAGTGAAAACAGTTTGGAGGCTGACGCTTAGTGCATGGAGAAACACATTCCACTTCTCCACTTCTTTTTTTTTTTTTTTTGAGATGGAGTTTCGCTCTTGTTGCCCAAGCTGGAGTGCAATGGCACGATCTCGGCTCACTGCAACCTCCGCCTCCCAGGTTCAAGCAATTCTCCTGTCTCAGCCTCCCAAGTAGCTGGGATTACAGGCGCATGATGCCATGCCTGGCTAATTTTTGTATTTTTAGTACAATCGGGGTTTCATCATATTGGTCAGGCTGGTCTCGAACTCCTGATCCACCCCTCTTGGCCTCCCAAAGTGCTGGGATTATAGGCGTGAGCCACTGCACCTGGCCTCATTTCTTCATTTTATGCAGAAGTTGCACTTTGCTACAGGAACGAGATACTTTCGGCTATGTATTTCTAAGCAGTTACAGCATCTCTCAGGTGTGCAAAGTCAGTGTTCCATCTTTATGAAGTTTTCTGGGCTAAGTTTCAAATGCCTGAAGCTCCCATCTGACGTGCCTGAAGAGCCACGATCTGGGGCTATCTTACAGTTGCTCTTCCCTTTGGGCACTTTTTTCTTTTTCAATTGAATGAAAAAGTGCATGTCTTTTGTCTTTTTTTTTTTTTCCTTTTTGGTCTCAATAAAATCCCCAAAAATGGCCATCAGACCCACTGCGTGCTATGAGAAGTCATCCAACTAGTGGGAGGAAGCAAGGAAGAAGAGTTGCCAAGGAAGAATTTTGATCTGTTTCAAGGAGTAATCATTAAGATACATATAAGTCATTTTCAAAAATAATTAAAAGCCCTAAACAAACTGCCAGATAACACTTTTGTCAATAACACACCAGGTCCTGAGATGCAGTGTGCCATACGGTGGAGAGACAAGGATTCAAGCTAGCCCTTGTTTTTTTTTTTTAAACATATTTGCCAAGTTACGTTTCACACGTAACCCTGACCCCATCCTCTCCCTAGTTTTCCCCTACCTGCACCCAAATATAAACTGAAAAGCCCCTGAAGCCCAGATCACTAGTAGGCTAGAGGCATTAATTACAACTGTAGCTGAGGTTATAATGGGCTGGAAAAATTTCCTGCTGTAATTGGAATATAGATTCAACAGTTTTATTGAATGTCAAAGCACATTATTCCGCACAGCTGCTAGAGAGGCACTGCTGAACCCATGCTTCTCTTCCATGACAAACACCTAGTAAGCAGTCAGCATAAACTCTTCCCTTACAACCTCTGACATCACCCCCAGGGCAGGCACACACAGAACAGCAATTGCTGAATTGCATATGAAAATTATAGTTTATTGTCTATACAACTGAAGGTTTAACTCGGACTCCTGCTTCTGTCGGAGCTGTATAAAGAAGCAATTCTTCTCTTAGAACAAATAAGCACAGTACACTATTGTAATCTAAGAAACAGACACTATTTATGTATTGGAAAGCCTTGCTCTCAATAGGGCTAACAGTCCAATGGCCCATAAGCCACTATTTTAGCAGCTGTAGAAAAGAAAGCTGTGGAAGTCACAAGGAATGAGATGCTAAAAGCAACAGAGACAGATGATCCCAACACCAACGGGAGGTTTCAAGTCCCAGCTGCTGCCACTGTTAGTTTAGCAAGCAAGACTCGTAGGTTGGGACCACGTACTTAATGTTGATAAAGGCATTTTCTCCTCCGTAGCGCTCGAAGGCCTCCAGTGTCTCCTGGATCAAGTCCCCAATGTTCTCCCTCTTCTGCTGGCTGTAGTCAATGCCGTCTCCGGAGTTCACTGGTGCATGCAAACACACAAAGAGGCCAGTTACTTCTCTGCAATTTCCCGAAAAGTCCTACACAGTCTAGGCATTTTCTCTGAATGCTTATTAGGAGACACAAACATGCAAGATTTTTACACGATCTTGCGGAGTTTTAAAAGCAGTGGCAACTGTACAAAAATACCAAGTCCCAGATTGGAGCCGATGAAAAATAACCTAAAATAAAGGAATAACAGAGTAAACAAAAGTAAGTGAATCACAGTTACAAGAAAGATGACAAGTCGGGGACTCTCTTTCTTGATCTATTATATACAGAGTGTTCTCTTGGGCCCTGAGTTTTCCAAAATCACAGCACGGTGTACTTAGAAGGAACAGTCTATTGTGAGATCAGGCTGTTCGTTCCGTGTGATTTAAAATGGATCTGCTTTGGAATGAGGCTTAGCCCCCACCCGCATCTCTGCTGCTTTTGAACACATGGCAAACTCTTTCTCCTGAATCCCAGTAATCCAAGTGTTCAGTTCCTTGAAATCATTTTGCTCATTCCAGGTGCAGGTGGGACAGGAGGAAGCTGCTTCTCCTGCCCTGGCTGCTCCCGAACTATCACTCAATGCTGGGATGACAGCTATTTGTCAGTCAGGGCTTTGCAGGGAGTTTGTGCCACTGCTAGTTTTGGAGTCCCCAAGTCCGGGGAGGTGTGTCAGCTGCAGAGTCTGGAAGTGACCGCTTCAGCTGCCTCTGATGCTACGAGGGAAGCAATTCCTAGGGTGGCCTTCAAAGGCCAGGAACCTATGGCTAAGAGCCTCTCCTCTACACCACAGACTCAATCTCAAATCACTAAGGAAAGAGATATGCGATTGTATCCAAGCTGCAGGAGTTACCAAGGGTGAGGGAGTCTGACAAAAATGGGGCCCCTTAGTTTCCATTCTGCGTGTAGATATTCCACAATTGTTTTCTCTAACGATAGTCATTCCACGCTTTCTGTTGTATTCCACTCCTAGGTTACCAAGGGCTTCAACGACATTTATTCTCCCAGCAAGCAAGTCATGAGTGTGTCCTGCCTTATCTATGGTGGAAGGAAAGTACACAGGTGGGCTGGGAGGACCCAGTAGGATGAGGGTGACAGCTCAGGCCTAGAGAGTGCCATGGGGCCAGGGACCTTCAGTGCAACTTGAAAATGTGCATTTCACCAGAGAAAGAATTCATTTTATTCATATTTCAAGTGTAGACCCACAATGTTTATCTTGTTTGAATGTGAAAATAATAGAGGGAAAAATGGTGTTTCCAACCTTTTATCCTTAATTAGTCATTCGAGACATTTAAAAAAGACTTAGTAATGGTTCAGACCAGAATAAATATAACAATTACAATCCTACACAGCACAGGGAAGCAGTTCTTTTGCTTGATTTTTCCAGAAACTTATTAGAGAAATATCACTGTCTTCTGTGATATACACACAATAAATTTCTATCCTTATTCTTTTCTTTTGGTGAGGGTGAAGGCAGGCAGATATATTACTAATTTTCAGAAAAAAAAAGATTGTGAGTCACACAACTGTAGTGCATGTCATTTATTCATAATAAATGACCTTAAAATGGTTCACAAAGCCATTGTGATTAGGTGGGTTTTTCGTTCCTCATAGTACATGTGTTTGTGCTGTCACAGGTAAAGCTGAATTTCAATTTATTTAAAGTTTGATCATCCCAAATATTCAAAATGTTATATATATATATGTATATATATATACACACACGAATGAGAGAGAGGAACAGAGAGAGAGAGAGAGAGAGATGCTGGATACAGTGACTCATGCCTGTAATACCAGCACTTTGGGAGGCTGATGTGGGAGGATGGCTTGAGACCAGGAGTTTGAGACCAGCCTGAGCAACAACAGCAAGACCCCATCTCTATAAAAGAAATTAAAAAATTAGCTAGGTGTGGTGGCATGTACCTATAATCTCAGCTACTTGAGAGGCTGAGGTGGGAGGATCACTTGAGCCCAGGTGGTCGAGGTTGCAACGAGCCATGATCGCGCCACTGCACTCCAGCCTGGGCAAAGAGTAAGACCCTGTCTCAAAAACAAACAAACAAAACAAAAAGAATATATCAGATAAACAAGAGATAAGATTTTGAAACAAAAGGGTCCTTGCCCTATTGTTTTTGAGGAAAACAACGATACACTTTGTAAAAACAAACATGTAAATGGATATGCATTTGAAGTCCACCGGTTTTTCTGTTTATATTTCTTAAGATTGACATGGTGTTCGGAGGCGTGAGAAGGTGCAGGCAGGAATGGCTGCACGGGGGAGATGAAGCCCGGTGGCTCCGCTTGTGGGGAGCCTTCCACGAAGGACTTTGAGTTGGATTGAGAGAGGAGGAGGAAGCTCGTGTTGGGAGGAGGCGTTGTTGACATTTGCTACAGGTGTAAAGAAAAGATGTTAAGGAAGAAGGTGGGCAGGATGAAAAGCAACAGGGGATTTGAACAGAGGTGCTGGTGGGAGGACCCTGCGTGACAGGGGAGGTCAGCAGCAGAGAATGTGCTTTTTAGAAACAACTTCAGCTTTCCAGGATTCCAACCAAAGCAGGGACAAATGTCCCCTCAGAGTTGGGCTCATCTTTGTGTGCCCCTTCTCCCCAAATTATAGCTGATAAACTCCTCCTAGGCATGAAAGAGGTGGACCTAGGGAGAAGGTGGCATGGCCTGTTTGCATAGGACAGAGCCCATTGCATAAACCCCTGGAGGGCACACGGAAAAGATAGTTGATGATGATGCTGAGTTGTGGCTGCTGTGATCAAGTTCCTTATGGACAAAGATACATACATTAGTCACTCATAAATGGTGCCTTTTGTCGGCATATGAGTCAGAAGGTCAAGAGCTGAATAGACCAGGAGACAGACATATTTTCCTGATGGAGGGAAAGGGCGTGGAAGATCTGCACACAATGGAAAGCTTAAGGCACCTGCTTTTCCACTGCCCCAGAAGGCAGCAATGACAAGCAGAACTTTATCTCATGTTCTTACTTTTAAAAAAAATTTGACCATAGGAGTAAGTAAACTATGTAGCTTTTTTTGTTTTTCCACAGTGTATAACCTCAAATGATAAAAGAACAAAACACAATAGGAGTTGCTTATTCAAAAAGTGAGTTGGAGTTGGAATATTTGTGGTTGCAGAATGCGTATCATTGGGGTAGAAAAAAGACCAAAAAAGGAACACCTCCTTTACTTTTCATGCTGAAACAATGACCCTGCACGGTTTGGGGTCTAACTATGTTGAGAAGCAGGTGAATCATGAGGTCTCCATTTCAAACCTGCTACATTGACAGTTTTTTGAGGGCCTGA
This sequence comes from Homo sapiens, assembly GCF_000001405.40. Classification (NCBI taxonomy): domain Eukaryota; kingdom Metazoa; phylum Chordata; class Mammalia; order Primates; family Hominidae; genus Homo; species Homo sapiens. The sequence goes on along the minus strand of NC_000006.12, from coordinate 163,311,507 downwards.
AATTGAGATGATTAAGTTTGAACTCACCATTTTAAATACATGCGACACGTGAAAAATACGTTTGTGAGAATAGGACATTAAAACGAATAAACCCAAATGGTTATTTACAATTGTCAATTCTGATTAGGAAAATGACACTTCAATTTAGAAAGCAAGGAGTGGATTTTATGTCTGGGAGCTAGAAAATATACATTGATGATGGAAAAGATATATTTTATTTATAATCAAACAAATAGAATGAAAGCAATGGTTTAAGCCAGACCTGGTGCTTCTGGAAAGATGAGAGGCAGGCAGAGGAGAACGAGGGATTTAGTTTCTGTTCTTGGAGATCCCTCCATGCAGGAGGCATGTGACCTACTGCCTCAAAGTTGTTCTTGGTTAAGAATTATTTTAAGTGCATTTATTCCTCTGAATATTGGTGTTTTTGATGATGTAAGCAGTTTAAGCATGAATAATATGCACACTCATTTTTCTATCTAAACCTCCTTAAACTGTCCCCATGGGATGCTTTCTCTTTCCGGATACCATTTTGTTCAGAACTAGGACGCACGTGTCTATCCCGGTCTCTGGTCTCTTGTCCAGCGATAGCATCCTCCGGGCTGCGTGAACTCAGCTTGGGGCTGTGAAGGGACAGCCGTATATCTTGTCACCGAGGGCCACCGCAATGGGGAGCTGCACCTGACACATTTACATTTCACAAAGATATCTGCCACTCCGTGGACACGGACCAGCAAGAGGCTTGGATGACCTAGGATTCTGATGATGTATTCTCCATTTCAATTCTAGACTGTGTGCAAACTTCATTCTTTCTTCTACGTTCTTTAGTTATGACTATTACAGGAGAAAGGAAAAAATCGAAGGTGAAGGAAGCAAAGACAGAAAGGAAGGACGGTTTGGTGGCCAGAGCGAGGTCTTCCCACGTCACTCCCGGGACGTGTGCTGACGCGTTGCTCCTCCGTCCTGCAGAACGCCGTGGGTCGTGGCAGCAGCTGCAGCTGTTTCACAGGCTGTCCTCCCTGTAGACTAAGCATCTACTCCGCGCTATAGGGCAATGCGAGACAAAAAAGACCCCCGGGAGCTTGCCATCCAGCTGAGGAAGCCTAATTAGCCACGCTTCCTGTAGCATACAGTGGTCACTTTCTCCTCCATGGAAGTATGTCTGGGCCCACGCACCCCACTGCTTCCAGAGCCTCCACGCGCTGTGTGTCCCCCGTGGCGCTTTGCTTGCCACCGAGCCCTGCGTCTTGAGAACTCTGAACGGTTTGTTGTAGTCAAGACACTCGGAGATCCTAGAGACGCGAAAAGCAGGAGGGGAACGTGTGACGGCCACTGCGAGGCTCAGGGAGAATTTAATTCAAATTTGGATTTTTCTCACTCTTACGCTTTGGGGCAATACTGTTAAATGGTAAATATATAGCCATTGTATGAACAGCAATACACAAAGGAGTTATTTGGAAATGAAAGCCTTATTGAAGGCACTGGAAAAATTAAACAAATAAATGTTTCCTTTAGATTGCTCATTCAACATGCCTGAAGTGTTGTTCATTTGATACCGAATAGATGAAGTCATTTATGAACTCTATCTATACTTTTTCGTAATGACTAAGAAAATCCTAAATAGGCACGATTTCAGGAAGGAAGCCCTTCTGCTAATTTTGAGAACGTCCTGGCTGAAGCGGCAGCATCGCACTCTCAAAGGGAACAGCGAGACCACACCGGGGAAGGCAGAGTTGTCAGGTCCACGGGAGGAGAGTCCCGGCCCCAACACGCTCTCCTGCCTGAGATGCCTGAAGAGCTGGAGGCTGTTAGAAGGCAACGAACCAAACATTCTCCCAGGAAACACTAACTTGGGAAACTCCATTAAAAACCACCTGAGTGAATCAGGAAATGGTTAAGAGGTGACTGAGATGATGATAAAACTATCATTACCAGTCTTTCTTCACACTAAATACCTGCTTTCGGAAGCTTGAATTTTATGATGCAACTTGCCAGGCTCAGTAACAACAATGGTTTGTGTTACTTCCTAGGTACACAATAGCTAGACTGTAGAACTGACTGTAGAAATTAGCAACTATCTCAGACAAATACATGACGATTATACTGATAGAACAACATTCACCTTAGCCGCAGAGAGCATGAGACATTGACTCAGGCAGACTGACTCTCTCCACGCACCCAAGGCTGAATGACAGCCATAAAACCAAGGCTCTGAAATAAATAGCTGCGGAGGCCTCGTGGTTCAGCCGCACCGCCATCGGTCTAGGGCTGTGCTCTGGCCGTTGGCATGTGGAGCATTTGCTGCCAGGCGTAGCCACTTTGCACACATGGCGCTTGAGTGAACTCAGGCCAGATCCAAGCTCTTTCCGTACCCAGCATTTGTCGGAATCAAGCCGACTGCAGAAATCGCCTTGCCATGTGTTCCCCACTGGGGCCAGGTAATCTCGCTGAAGCAACACTGAGTGGAATTTAAAAAAAAAATGCTGACAGAAGAAATCAAATAGTTTCTTTCTGGACCAGAAAAGGCATATTTTTGATTCTCAAATGCTGAACTAAAAAATTTCAAGAGCTTTAAGGCCCAAGTAAAAGGATTTTCACCTATTAAGACCTGTAACCTTTGACGTCATCAGTCACAGCTAAAGCTGGCTTTCTTCTGATTGGGTTGCAGTGATGTCATCCGCTGTGGTGAGAGAGAAAGCGAGCCCTGGCGGCCTGGCTCAGGTCTTGGCAGGTTTGTGCAGGTGGAACTCACTGCATTTATTATTATCATGTTTCTTGACGACACTAAGCCATCACAGATTCTCTGTTGGATGATTCTGAATAAATTTTCCTTTTTTTTTTTTTTGAGACGGAGCCTCACTCTGTGGTCCAAGCTGAAGTGTAGTGGTGCAACCTTGGCTCACTACAGCCTCTGCCTCCCAGGTTCAAACGATTCTCCTGCCTCAGCCTCCTGAGTAGCTGGGATTACAGGTGTGCATCACGATGCCCAGCTAATTTTTGTATTTTTAGTAGAGACAGAGTTTTGCCATGTTGACCAGGCTGGTCTCGAACTCCTGGCCTCAAGTGATCCGCTCGCCTTGGCCTCCCAAAGTGCTGGGATCACAGGCGTGAGCCACCACACCCAGCCAAATTTTTCCTTTGTGTTTATTGGATTTAGTAGTTAAAAGATTGAGATGACCAAAACAGAAACTCCTTGTTTGTATTTACTCCTTGTTTTTTAAGCAGAAATGTCAATTTTAGTGAAATAAAGCTAAAAATTTTCAAAAGAAATTTATTCAACAGATAACATATTGCTAAAAAAAGTCATTAACAATAACTCATAATGTTTGCGAATTTAGAAATGGTTGCTTTTGAGTTTTTTTAATATGAATTAAGAAAGGGGAAAAGGAAAGCTACAGGTATATTTTATCTTTTAAGATATTTACAGTTTCAATACCTAGATTAAATTGTCACCATTTGTTTTGCCAGAAATGTGTTTGTTTGGGTTAGCTTGGACTGAATTTACTATATAGAAATAGTGTTACCTGTTTTAGAATAAGAGTTTTCTCCAGTAAAGTTTAGATAATTATAGGGAAACAGCTATGAATTCCAATCTGGTCTTTTCTGGAGGTGAAGGAGTGAGAAAGAAAAGAAAGAGGCAGGGGAAAACCTAGGACCAAATTCATTTTTTTTCTTTTTAAACAATGAGTAAGAGAAGAGCCTTTTGGGGAGAAGCCGTGAAGTTATCTGCTTTTAGAATCCTAAAGAAATGCTTCTTTCACTCTATTTTTTTAGCTTTGCTATGTAACTTTGAGGGGACTCAACTTTTCTCCCCCTTAACCATAATGTGTGTTTCCCCATTTGGAATCCTGGGTGTTTCTGTGTCTGGGCCATGCTTAGCCACTGCTTCCTTGGCTGACTTCATGTTCTCTTGGAAACCGAAGGTTCCCTACATTCCCTTAAATACAACCTTACAATGGATATTTCCAAAGTCTTGGTTCATGGGTGTGTGAATCAAAGTTGCAATGGTTTTTCAACCAAAACTTACAATAACCACGGCATCTGGCACGCTAGAGATGCCCAAGGGCTTACCCACTTCAAATCTTCTCAGATCTTGTTGACATTAATGAAATTCACAAGATTTCTTTCCTCTGAAGATAAAAGCTTTGAAGTAAGCACTCGATTCCCAGCTGGATGTCTCGTTCTCTTTCTCTCTTCTTGACACCGAAGGCTGGGTCACTAAAGCACTAGGTTACTAAGCCATCATATTTCCAAAAGCTTGAGGAAACGTTTTCATCTTCTGAATGGGGCCATTGGTCACCTGAAGAGATCATGAATCTTGGCCTAAGAGTCAATTCAATATCTAAATTTCCCTCACATAGACAATGACAATTTCTAAACAATTGTCGTTGTCCAACTGCAAAGTAGATTCATTTATCTATGAAATGTACAACACTAACAATGGGATCATACTGATATAGTGAAAAGAATACTGGACTTCAAGGCAAATAGCCTGAGATATAATTTTCAATAACTTAGTAGCTATACTATTCAATAACTCACTAGCTATTTAACTATGGGCAGGTTATTTAACTTCTCTGAATCTCAGTTACTGCCTCTGAATAAAGACTGAACTTTGGATGCTCTCTGGTTTCTATTCACCTAATATTACTTTTTATAATATCACAATGTAACTTTGGAATAAGCATTTAGAAATGACAGTTATTCAATGGATGCCTGTATTTCAACTGAAAAGATGATCACAAAGCAACTATGTAATTCTTCAAAGTAAGTCAGAAACCTCATAAGCATCAAAATCAGGTGTCAAGTCAAGTTCTAAGAAAACCTGAAAAGACCAAATGTTTATATAATTAATTCTAGTTAAGAGAGCACTGTGCAAAATTCATATTATTTGTTGACACCCTACATCAAATGCTATTACATTCTGCTATTTCAGTAAGTCTATATAGCTTTTTAAAGACCAATTATATGGGTTAATTTCTTTTTTACATACCAATTGACAATGATTTGGTCAAGACTACAAAAAGGCAAGCTAAGGTCTTCTCTGATTAATTACTGTTTTGACCTGAAAGTTATACTAAGAAAAATAGGTGGGTTCATCAATTTATCCCTCTACTGGATAATTATAACAATAGATTCAGTTATCATTGAATTAAGCTGAATTCAAGCTTGTGAAGTAAAAGCTCATCTCTTTTCTTATTGGCCAACATGATTCGGGGAACAGAGTGCTTCAAAAAAAGAGCAGAGAGTTAAGTCCAGCTGTCTGTGTTAAATCTATTTCTCGCTGTCTTATCTCATGGTGGAGTAATAATAACAACAATATAATGTCATTTACAAAGATTAGGTCATTTAAAACTAAGAATAGCCCTATGAGCTAAATACTATTATTATTCCCCTTCACAGGGGAGAAAATTGAGGTTTTGAGAGGTGAGAAAATGTAGTGAAATGATGTAAGCAGTAAGTGATACTGGGATCCTGAAAAAGAGAAATCAAAGTAAGAATCTGCTGAAGTGCAAGAATGATGGCGGGAAGGTTCAGAAAGAGAGGTCCAAGCATCACATGTCATCACAGCGAGAGCAGGAGGTAGCAGAACATTTGCTACCTACAGAAGAACTTTAGCCCCGTATCATCAGCAGAGAGGTTCCAGGTGAGTAAGTGATGGGGAGATACTGTAGCCACTGCAACCAACCGGGTAGTGTTTCCTAGGATAGTCAATTGCTATGATAAAAAATATCACTTTTTATGACATAGACTATTACACTATCTTTACTTCATTACAGGTCCTTAAAATAGTATCACTCACAGAGATACAGGCAGGATGACAAAAATCAAGGCCGACTGATTTCAAGGACTTTTCTCTCAGTGCCATAAACACATGGTCAGTATGGGCAAAGTCTAGGATCAATTTCACATTTCATACCCCCATCTTTATGGGCATTTATTATGATTTATTTTTAGTCTGGTAGATATTAGTTACATAGTCTTCTAGATGAGGAAATTATAAGGCTTTCATGAATACAAGATAGACGAGCAGGCTGAGCGTGACTGCCCAGGGACGTCATTGCTACTTAGTGGACGGACGCCTGGTATTGGACCAGAGGCACGAGGAGAACCTATAACTGTGGGATCGCAGGAATAGAGTGAGAAGGTAAAAAGGAGGAACCTTCCAAGTATTTGAATGGTCTTAAGAAACAAACCAGAAAGCCACATTGAAGTCACTTATGTTGGGAAAGTTTAGGAATCAAAGTTGAAGGTTCCCATTCTCTACGAAGAGTAGGAGAGTCTCTGGGTTTCCTTCAGGAAAGGGTTCTTGCAGTTCTCCAACAGTTCTTGCTGGAATTGAATGTGGTGTGGAGGCCCTCAGATGGCCCCCTGGTAAGTGCAGAAGGCTCCTGTGAGGAGCACAGGCACCGAGTGTGGGCTCGGAAGATGAAATGCTGCCCTTGGCCCTCCTTTCTTTGTGCAGTTGCTGCTGTGTGGGACACGGTGGGGCCAGGCCTCCCACTCCAGTTCCTCCTGGATCATAGTTAATAGTCTGTTTATCTTTCCATCTTCAAAGCCTCCTCTTCCTGATTTACCCTGCAGAACAATTTATCTCATCATTTCTTTTCTGGTTAATAATCAGTGTCTCCATGTTCTATAATGGATCCGATTCAAAACCCCAGTCGTCTGGCCCCTGTGTGATCTCATCTCCCTCACGAAGCCGGTCACTTGCATTCTCCTCCACAGTGGGACCTCCTGCTTCACTCAGGCTGGATTTCCTACTGACCCCACTGCATGAAATTTTCATTCATGCCTAAATTCCCCATGGGAATATGCTCTCCTCTTCCTCCTGGTAAGTTCAAGCTTACTTTGGTTCAGGGCTAATGTTACTCCCTCTTTGATTTTGCATCCACATCATCTTTCTTTCTTTTGAATTCCTGGAGCACTAGGCCTGTAGTCCCCTCCCTGCTTATTTCCAGGTTACTCTAAAACCCTTAATAGATGTTTCCTGTTTACTTAGCCCTTTTGCATTCTACCACCTCGTGGGGGGAAAGGATCATGGTAATTATGTTATAAACCTCATCGTGGGCATCAAATTCAAATTGGGCACTTGTAAACTGAATGAATGAAAGTATAAGTAAATTGCTACCTTGTGGGTTTACTGGATCCAGATACTGATATAAGCAAACTCAGTTCTAAATAAAGTGTATGGTAGGTGTAGTGGCCACCATGTGCCTAATTCCAATTCTTTGTTTACTATTTACATATTTGTGAGTTGTTATCCATGGAAATAGCACTTACATGAATTTGGAAATGTTCGATCAAATGAGCTTCAATATGTGGAGGGTCTCTACAGCTAGGTAGCTTCATCTGGCTGCTTTTCAATCATGTACTCCTCAACTTAAAGTGGGGTTTACCTGGATCATCTTTAAATTTGAGAAGAAAAAAAACTTTTTGTTCATAGTGAAAAATGAGATTATCCCATTTACTTTTTTTTTTTTTTTTTTTTTTTGAAATGGAGTCTTGCTCTGTCACCCAGGCTGGAGTGTGATGGCTCAATCTCGGCTCGCTGCAACCTCCACCTTCCCTGTTCAAGTGATTCTCCTGCCTCAGCCTCCTGCGTAGCTGAGATTACAGGCGCCCGCCACCATGCCTGGCTAATTTTTGTATTTTTTTTCTTTAATAGAGATGGGGTTTCACCATGTTGGCCAGGCTGGTCTCCAATCCCTGACCTCAGGTGATCCCCCCGTCTCAGCCCCCCAAAGTGCTGGGATTACAGGCATGAGCCACTGCACCTGGTCCCATTTACTTTTTAGCAGCTTTTGCTCCAAGAAGAAGAACATATCGGATTTTTATAGTGCTTTCATTTAATATCTAAGTTTTGTTTTGTATGGTTTATTTCATAGCTACATGGTGATTTTCAACCAGCTCGCGAAACAGCAAAATAGATGATTTTGATTGGAAAAGAACTACTGATGGCTGCCCTCAGGAGTGATAAAACCTACTGGAAATAATTGTAACCACCTCTACACTGGTGGTGAAAACTTTTAAAAATGAGCCAGCCTGGCAGCTGCTATCAGACTTCTCCATTTCTAGGTAATGTTAATGATGCCAGATACAACCTGTTTTCAGCTCTGATTTTTTTTTCTGTGATTGAGGCACAAAAATAAAAATTCATCTCAGATGTCTTTTTTTCTTTTTTGTGAGACAGGGTCTCACGCTGTCACCCAGGCTAGAGTGCAGTGGCACGATCTCAGCTCACTGCAATCCCGGCATCCTGGGCTCCAACAATTCTCCTGCCTCAGCCTCCCGAGTAGCTGGGACCACGCACTACCACGCCTGGTTAATTTTTTTATCTTTGTAGAGATGGGGTTTTGCCATGTTGCCCAGGCTGATCTCGAACGTCTCGACTTAAGTCATCCACCCACCTCGGTCTCCCAAAGTGCTGGGATTACAGGCTTGGCCCCCTCACCCTGCTCATCTCAGATTTCTAATAAATGTTATCAGCAAACACATTAAACTATGGGGAAACGCATTTCTAAAATGATGAACTCAGAACTTAGAAGCCTTTGCATAGCCATCCCAGTGCTCACCATCATAACAAGATAAGGCTGAATCATTGTAGGTGACTGGGCTGCACAGCGGGGCACAGAGCTACAAAGTAAAAGATTCTCATGGCCTTGATGTACTGCTTGTTCTAGCAAGAAAAATAATTAAATGGATAAACTCACCAATCGTGCTTACGATGAAAAAACACGTTACACCATTTCTGTAGATTGGATGTTTCCCCGAATATTTGGGATATATCTTAGCTTGCCTAAAGTACCTACTCTTTGAAAATTCTAAAATGAATTAATGGATGCAAAATTTGAATAGATTTCCAAATCCTTAGCTGGATATTTTACAGAGTGGGAATATCTCATCAAATGAACTCAAGTAATGCAAACATAATACATTTAATGAACAAATCAAAGCAGTCTGCTGGCTGAACTCAGTTAGCTGCTCTGAAAGTGACGGAGTTAAATCCATCACGCCTTTTACAACTGTCTTAGTTAAAAATAACCTAGAAATATCTTTCCAAGCTCTGGCTATCAGCCTTTATCAGCTTCTACACTGGTGAGTTAAATGTGGCAAGAGACATCCACTTTGCCCCAAGTGTATTAATGCAGGACACAGTCTGAAAATGCTTGAGCTTGCCTGATATTTTTACAAATGTTTAAGGCTTTAAAGCCCAATCAAAGTTTTGGCCACATCTTACAAAAAAAAAAACAAAAAAAAACAAACAAAAAAAAGAGAGAGAGAGAGAACAGTATCTAAACTGTGGGGGGAAGTTTTGAATGTGGCCATTTAATTTGCCACAGCAGCAAAATTGGGTTTGCACAATAGACACTGAAGCTTGTTGGAAATGTTGATAGGTGAAATATGCTGACTTTTGATACTTTTGAATAAAGAATGTTTATTTGTCCGAGTTACATTTTTATCTCTTAAAATTCCTCAGTTTAGTGTACCCGATGGCTTTCCCCTGAATCAGGACATTAAGATTAGTCTGGACAAAGGCAGCTTGGAAATGAAACAACAGGACCCCTGAGGGGCGGAGGCGTGCTCTTGTTGAACACAAATGGCCATGCATCCCAGCTCCACTGAAACAGGGGAAATAATATCCATCTGTAAGGACAGGTTCCAGGACAAAAATAAGAGAATATGCATTATGTTTATATTAATTTAACGTGCTGTTGATAAATTTCGACAACTATTATTACTGCAGCTGCTATTTTGTCTATACTGTAGCTCCCAGATAAGAGTAGACTGGCCATCATTTAACTGTCCTCTGGGAGAGGACAGGAAGTATAGCCCCACAGAACGCCATGGAGTGTTTTTTGCTTTACTGTTTAATAAAATGAGTTTACTCTACAACCTCACAAAGGAGCAACACTTTTAAAGAGCAACTGCTTCATCCTCAGGCCATGAGGGACAGCAGGACATTGTTATCTGGACTCACCTTGAACTTGGAGCCCTCATCTTTGGGATGTCCCTTTATGAGTTTTTTTAGTCTAGACTGGTACCTTGCACCCTGCTTACATCTCTGATTAAGATACTTGGTCGTAGGACTTTATGAGCAAACAATTTATAGCTTAAGCTTACACTTAATCGTTCCGTTTTCCTTCAGATATAGTTCAATATGTTGGTGCTTAACTGAATGGGGAAAAGACTGGCTCTTCTTCTGCAAATGGCACCCAGACGTGGTCATCTGAAGGATGGTAGCTCTGTTTACTTCCTTTTTGTCTCCACAAGGTCCTGATTTTTCCAAATTTAGGAGCACAGCTCATGACTGGCCCATTCCCTAGACTGCTGGCTGACTGTGAGACATGCAGCCCTGATAAGCCAACAGGAAGCAGCGGATGTGGCCCTACTAAACTCACGGGAAGCAGCAGACGTGGCCCTACTAAACTCACGGGAAGCAGCGGACGTGGCCCTACTAAACTCACGGGCAGCAGCTGACGTGGCCCTACTAAACTCACGGGAAGCAGCGGACGTGGCCCTACTAAACTCACGGGAAGCAGCGGACGTGGCCCTACTAAACTCACGGGAAGCAGTGGATGTGGCCCTACTAAACTCATGGGAAGCAGTGGATGTGGCCCTGCTAAACTCATGGGAAGCAGTGGACGTGGCCCTACTAAACTCACGAGAGGAAGCAGTGGACGTGGCCCTACTAAACTCATGGGAGGAAGCAGATTTTATTTTCAAATGCACACCTGATACTTGTGCTTTAAGCCACAAAAAGGTCATTCTTTTGTAGTATCACTATGGGATTTAATATTTGCAAAATAATTTATATTCCGGTTTCCTGATTTTGTGTTTTGAGGCACTAAAGGCACTTAATACATGTGTTATAATTCCAATTTATGTCAGATAAGTAGCTGAATTGACAGAGAGACTATCTCCTTGCCCGTTGCTGGCCACGAGGAGACAGCCCGGTTAAGCAGGAGATAGTAAGAGGCATTGGCAGCATTCTGGCTCACATCTTTCCCTGCAGGAAGAGAGTGAGGGCGGAGGCTTCGAGGAGACTCCCTCCGCTTCTCTACTGAGGCGAAAATCCCCGCATCTACCGCCACCTTCTCTGCATAGATTGCTACGTTGGCCTCTGAGCCCAAAGAAACCCTCCGTCCTCTTCCAGACTCTTCAGCGCCATGGTCCTAGGCCCTTTGGGATGGGGTAGACATCAGAGCTCCTGCCCTGGACCAGGCTTCCAAATTCAACGTCATCTGCAGAGTAGACTGAGAGCGCCGAGTAAACTGAGGCAAATGCTCTGGTAAGCAGGCTCACTCACCAAGCTTCCACTAAGTCTGGCGCCTGCCATCTTAGGTCTGGACAATGTAAACCTCCAGAGGTTGATGGAGACCTGGGTAAAGGGCTCAACTGATTTTCTGGCTTCACCCCAGTGTTACCTCCCAGAGTTCTGTTGTCCTTCACCTGCCCAAGGCCTCCGGATAGGTCATTCCACTTAGTTCCAGCCTCTTGGAAATATCTGTACTGGGAGCTCTGTGCCCCCTACGTGCTTCTATCAGCAAGACCCTGGACTTAAAGACTTGCCATGTGATGGTGGGTCCTCAGTCTAGGCTATATATTTTTGTTTGTTTGTTTGTTTTTTGAGACGGAGTCTCCCTCTGTTGCCCAGGCTGGAGTGTAGTGGTGCCATCTCAGCTCACTGCAACCTCTGCCTCCCTGGTTCAAGCGATTCTCCTGGCTCAGCCTCCTGAGTAGCTGGGACTACAGGCACGCGCCCCCATGCCCAGCTAATTTTTGTATTTTTAGTAGAGACGGGGTTTCACTATGTTGGCCAGGCTAGTCTCGAACTCCTGACCTCAGGATCCACCCACCTCGGCTTCCCAAAGTGCTGGGATTACAGGCACGAGCACCGTGCCCGGCCTATGTTTAGTTTTTACAGACACCTTTGGCTCAAAGGAGCAGCTCCAGTGGTGGGAATTTGGGGAGTCAAGGTAGTCTGGCAGAGGAAGTGCTGAGGGACAGGCAACCTTCCTGGCCTCGAGGACGCCAACTCCGTCCTCCACTCTCCTCATCACAGGTAGGCTCTGGCTGCAGGGCAGGGCGGGCAGGTCAGGCTGATGGTTCCTGACACGTCTATGGGGCTTGGGTGGTGGGAAGGACCCCCAGAGCAACAGCTGGAGCATTCGCCTTGGTGAAATACAGCTCTCTTCATTTGGCCACATGGCCTGCCTGGTGCTTAGATCAGTGTCTGTTTGTAAACTGGCTTCCCAGTCGGAGGATAAAAGAACAAGGCAATAAATCCAAGGTGGGACTCAGGAACCAGCTTCTAATATGAACTCAGATGTCATCATCCAAATTCTGTGATTTCAAGAAGACCAGCTGTGTTCTAGAGCTTCAGCAGCTGAGGATAGATTATTGGACTAGAGTGGGAATGTAGACTAGGGGGCTCACATTCTGGCAGAGGAGTCCGGTAATATGCCAGGTAACCAACCATTAAATAAGAGTACTTCAGAGTGAGAAGTCCTGGCAAGGAACGGAAAGGTGATGTGGTAGAGATGGACTTGGGGGGCCACTACAGGCACGATGATCCAGAAGATCTCCCTGGGAAAATTAAATTTAAGCTGACATCTTAGTGTGGAGAAGTCGGCTTGGGAGAAAGAAATAAGCTTGAGAAGAACGTGCAGTGCAGAACAGCAAAGGCAAAGACCTTGAGGTTGGAATGCGTTGTTACCGGAGAGGATGATTTCACTGAGTTATGGCATCTGGGATTTTCAACATTGATATCTACTCTACCTAATTATCATTTGTCATGGCTGTTTAATAGCTATGGAGTGGAAGGAATACAAGTTACTCAGCTGTTCTTCTTTGGCTAGAGACATTAAGTCTACCTCCAGATTTGCACAATTTTTGTGAGTGATGCAATCAACATCTTTGTGCATAAAGTCTTTTTCCTTAGTTGTATTATTTCCTTGAAAGAATTCTCAAAAGTGAGGTTACTGCTTCAAAGAATATGAACATTTTGTGGTTACTGGTATAGGCTGCCACATTGATTGTTCAGAAAGGTTAGGCCAGTGTATGATGTTCCAGCAACACATACGGGTGCCTGCTTTATCACAGCATTGGGTGTTAGAAGTAAAATTGTGTTTGCCAATCCAGCGTCTATAAAATGCTACTCTAAGGTTGCTTTAGTTAGCATTTTTCTAATTACTAAGGAGGGTTAACCTTTTCCCATGTATTATTTTGCTGTGTGGGCTTTTTTTTTTTTCCTTTGTGAGAGTGATTTGTTCTTATCTTTGGCCTATTTGTCTACTGGGTAGAGGTTATAAAGAAAACAAAGTCTCATCTTATCACCCTGGGAAGCTAGGGAGTAGACCAGAAGATCTCAGAAGTTAGATTTTTTGGCATGCACAAGCCACTCCAGCATTCACTTCTTTTTGGTCGATGCAATAAGCACTATTTCAGAGAGCAGAGAGATGTGATGAAGAGTCACTATCACTTCTAAAGGTGCCCAGGTATCCCGGGCCACCACCTTGGGCACCGAAGAATTGGAGGGATTGTGTTAAGCAATGCAGAGGACACTGCACGGTCAGTCCATCATTGTGAGAAGCTGAATTGATGGTCATATACAGAAGGAGGGACATTTACAGTGAATTAGGTTTCTAAAAAGCTTGCTTTACATCCTTATGACTGCACACCCACCCACCCATCAGGTGGCTGTGAGGGGTCGCTAATCAGAGGCAAGAACTCACACTTCTGGGTGCAGCGCTCAGGTTTACAAAGTGTCTTAAGTTGGATTAAGTCTCAATGAGGCTACACATAAAGTCATTGTTATTTTGGTTTGTATGTGAAAAGTGTGAATTTGTTCAATGTAAACATTCATGATATATTGCAATTGATTTGAACTTGTGTTGGCATTTCTACATTTTTTAATGTATGGGGAGCCTCTAAAGATGAGAGTGGGCTGGGATGCTCTTGAGCTCTAGGAAGCCCAAGCTGAAGGCTGGGAAGGAGATAGATAAGAGATAGCTCACTAGGTCCTGGGAGATGAACTTGGAGGCAGATGAAGCTAAGGCAGAAGTATTTGTTCTTATTGAAGGTTAAAAGACCAGTAGCAGTGGAAACTGAAGTCTGCTATTTATCTTCAGGCTAGGGACAGTGCAGACAGCTGCAACACGAGCCTCCTTATAAAACCATGCCAGCAACCTGAACCGTGACCTCCACTGAAGAAGTATTTCAGTGGGTGTGCTGACATTCCCTTTAAGCACCAGTAAGCACCAGGGTGTCAATTTTGTTTTGAGGTCTGGTGATTTTGTTCACCCTCTTTAGTGAATAATAGGGAGACAAAGTCTTTACATAGTCTTATTTCAATTTAACTAAAGAAACAAAGCTTCGTCGCAGGAAGAAAGATATTACATTGAGAGCAGGTTTGAAAGTTAAAAACAAACATTACAAAAAGATTTGGAATTTCTGATAGGCAGTGAGCTATTGCAAAATCAGATCGACAATTGACAGCTATTCAAGTTAAGGTAAAATAATGGTTTGGATAGATAGTTCAGTACATGTGATCTTAAGTTCGAAATTATCTGGTATTTCTTTTACTTTTTTCATGTCCCTTTATGTAGTTATGGCCTGTTAGAAGAGATAACATTATAAATTAAGAAAAAGCAAGCTGTTTACAGAAATCAGTGTGGAGCATTTAAAGTGGTTTTTCTCATATCGAAAAGCTACTGGCAGGTCTAATTATTGCCCTGTCTGAAAGAGCAAAGTACATTAAAATGAGTGAAATAAATGGCTGGGCTGCACATATCTCTGCGTGCTACAGTCATTACTCGAGTAGTGTGTCTGTCAGGAAACCCTTTATGAATCCCATAAAGAACTACATCACTGGGCCCCCAAACATTCTCCATGTAAAAAGTCTGATGGTGGGCTGGGCGCAGTGGCTCACGCCTGTAATTCCACCAGCACTTTTGGAGGCCGAGGTGAGTGGATCACTCAGTCAGAAGTTCAAGACCAGCCTGGCCAAGATGGTGAAACCCCGTCTCTACTAAAAATACAAAAATTAGCCGGGCGTGGTGGCGGGTGCCTGTAATCCCAGCTACTCGGGAGGCTGAGGCAGAGAACTGCTTGAACTCGGGAGGTGGAGTTTGCAGTGAGCCGAGATTGTGCTACTGCACTCCAGCCTGGCCTGGGCGACAGGGCGAGATTCCGTCTCAAAAAAAAAATGCCTGAAGGTGAAGAAAATTACTCAAAATACTAAATTCCTTTAAGTCCTGTTATGATTGTTTCCTGCTTGAAGGAACACAATGGACTCCCTTTTTAATTAGTTCTACTATTCTACCCCAAAAACCTGACCACTATAAGATAGCAAATTAGAGCTTTTGGCAAGAAATAGACTTTGGGGGCCTATATTTCCTGAAGAATAAAGTAAAATGGGTTTCCACGAGTCTCCTAACACCCCCCAGGGGCTGCGGTATGAAGACAGCCTCCTGCTGCTCTGGGTTATAGAGCTTAGAACTGCGTGGGGTTTACTAAGGAAGCCCTTCTGATAGCAGAAGGCCAGGGCTACTCAGGGCCTCAGGGCATGGGACAAGGACCCTGAATTGGCCCTGTGGGAAGCAAGGTGTCAGGCATCAGGCTAGGAGTTTTATGTATGCTCCTTCATTTAATCCTTAATTCTATGAGGTTGGCCATGATGCTGAAGAAGATGGGAAAAACTCTCGAATATTCCTCCCAGGGATCTATGTTAGCGTGTGGCTGTGAAGGTTAAATAGGGTATATATGCAAAGCAGCTGCTATCTACTAGTAAGTCCTGCAGCAGAGTTTGCTGTAATTATAATCATTATTATAATAACAGTATCAGTGCTTCTTACATGATAGTTCTAACAATTAAATGAACTAATTTATAGACAGCACCTAGCCAAAAGCTTGACAATTATGGGGTGCTAAAAAATGTTACTTTCTTTCACTTCCGTAATAAGATCAATTCAAGGAGTTCATGGTGCATTCATTAATATTCCAAATCTACCCACTGTACGGATAAGCAAATTGTCAAAGTGGGATTTGATCTCAGGTCAACCTAAAGCTGAAGCCTCGGCTGTTTCCCTTACAGTCTGCTTCCTTGCTAAGGGCACTCAGTGTCGGTGTGGCCAAGCCAATTAACACAGAAATTCCTTATGGTCGCCCTTGTAATCACTTTAGGACAGGAGCTCCCCCTAATCTGTGGATTACTTGGTTTTAAATACTTTTTGGTCCGTGTCATTTTTTCTTTTGTATGCATTTACGTTTTTAAAAATAGGCACGTAGCCTAGAATAATTATAAAAGTGAATACTGCTTTATAATGAACCAGATAACGTTGCCAATATTCAACTATTTTTGGCTAAAAAATGTCAATTTCATGTGGTTTGACCTAAATTTTAATTCTTACTGTGTGTCAGGCACTATGCTAAGCATTTAAATACATTTAGCTTATTTAATTTGAATTCTCATTAATCCCCACAACAACCTTGGAAAGTTGATAATGTTACTGCTCACATTTTTACAGAGGAGGAGCCCATGGTACAGAAAGGTTAAGTTCAACCACCAAACATCAAAGGGAAACCACCATATGCAAAATAATGAAATGTCTTTATAGATGCTCTGGCTGAGAAATTCAGTTGTGATATATATGAAAACAAAGTGAAATAAAAAATACCACTTAAAACATTTCTTTATAATGGACATATTATTCAGATGAAAACTGTTTTCCTTCTAATCTTAAAATTCTCTATTATTATCTAGCTAATCTATCATCCATCTATAGCTTTCAAGTTATCTGTGAAATTAATTATTCATTAAGCAATTAACAATTATAATTACAAATTATAATTTTGAGTCACTGTGATTGGTAGAATTTAAATGCAAGGATATGGCTGTCAGAAAATTTACTATAAAAGAAAATAAAAAGTTGTTCCTAACTGATCCTTAAAAATATGTCTTTCCTTTCAAATTTTGTCCAACGGTTCTCTTTTCCTTGGGCTGCCATTTTACATTTGGGGAAAACTGAGACCAACATTGACCACCTGACCTTTATTGACTACATTTTAAATGTAAATTTTGTTTTTAGTAATTTTCCTTGCTTCTCCATGAAAATAATTTGTTTACAGGTAGCCTCCTCACTAAGTCTGTAATATGCTTTTTTAGTGGTTTTAGAAAAATATTTCTGTAGGGGATACAAAATAATATTATGATGACATAATTTGTTTTACTTCCCTGCAATTTCGTATAAACATACATAAAGCAATATTATAGCATATTAACTTTCTTATATGAGATTAAATTCTCATTAATATATTTTTAATGTTTTATGAAAAATATTTTAATACAAAGAAGTACAATTTCCTCATCTATTTTACCACAATTGCATTTTTTGTTTTAGATCATTTTCATTAAAATATCTTCTGTTTCCTAACCAAAAAAATGTTAATTTTTTTGGGGGGTAAAGAAATAATTGGGTCATATTCTGTAATTGCTATTGGAGCTATCAGGCTAGGTTGTATCTTGGCAAAAATAAAATCTAGGTCGGAACTAGAAAACTTTAAAGTGCTAGAAGTTATTGTTACTAGACTTTATGAGAATGTATCAAAATGTGGTTAGTATTGCCATTTTCTTTTCACAGTTTTTTTTTATATTTATGATGAGAAAAACATATGCTTTCTTCTGGATTTTTGTTTAGTTTCCAAAAATGATTAAAAATTCTACTTAAAAATCACAACACTGTAAACCTATATTCCCTGTATACCTTACTTTAATATTTCAGTATTTATGTTCACTTTCTCTAATGGTAACGTGGACCTTCATTATGTATGTTTATCTTGTTGTTATATGTCCTCTTAATTCCCCGATTCTTTATGTGGAAGTTACATATTTTAGTTACAAAACTTTTTCATCTCATGAACTATGGGTAGGTAGGTAATAAGTGAAATTTCTAAAAATCACATTCCCTTAGTTCATGATGTAACTGTCAGCTACACGGTCAGCAGTCGGCCTGGGACAGCTGCCTTGTGGTTATACAGCTGCTTTGATTACTTAGAAATAAGCACAGGAGGCTTCACTCCGTTGTATTGCTTTAACTGTTGCACTTTCTTACCCTTTTTACCTGCACGGAGCTAAGGGCTGGCTTTGGGCCTCTGGATGTTCCAAACCACAGAGGTAACTTTGGTGCCCACACACTGGCTTACTCTGGCACGTGCACATATACATGTGCATGCAATGCTGCCATCCCTGCCAGGAAGGATTTAAGGCACTGCTATTCGATCATTACAGCTGAAATCAATAGTTCATTGTTGATTGTTGTTGATGACCTAGGTGTCGTTAAGCTCTCCAAAGAACAAGATGGTTCATAGGATTTTCCAGAAACTTGACTTGCTGCTAAACTTTTCATGTTAAGAATAAAGAAAAGTCACGAAAAATCTTTTCTGGTGACTCAAATAATCCCTGGATACACTGGGAAAATGTCTAAATATTAGCACTATGCTTGATTTTTACATTCGGGATCAATCTGTATCTATTTCTATCTTTGAAAAAAATCCTTGCAAGTTTGTGAGATCGCCTGCTCATTGATCAGAAGGTAACAATCGTCTTCTGTAATAGCAACGCACAAGGAATGGAGGAAAATCTTTTTAAAGAAATCGAAAGAAACAGAACTTTGAACTAATCTGGTTTAGATTACTTAATATTATTAAAGAGTATTAAGGTTAGCCAAATGGTCAGGAAATTTAGATGTTTTCAAATTGTGTGCCATTTAAAACAACCATTGGGGACTGGGCATGGTGGCTCACACCTGTAATCCCAGCACTCTGGGAGGCCAAGGAGGGTGGATCACCTGAGGTCAGGAGTTTGAGACCAGCCTGTTAACATGGTGAAACCCTATCTCTACTAATAAATAAATAAATAAATAAATAAATAATACATAAATTAGCTGGGCGTGGTGGCAGATGCCTGTAATCCCAGCTACTCAGGAGGCCGAGGCAGGAGAATTGCTTGAACCCAGAGGTGGAGGTTGCAGTGAGCCGAGATCGTGCCATTGCACTCCAGCCTGGGTGACAGAGCAAGACTCCATCTCAAAAATACAAAACAAAAAGCCATGGGCCCAGTGATAGTTTCCCATAACAATTCCTCCTCCATTCTGAATTTCTTATGCTTCATTTTAGTGCAAATGTGGTTCCATGAAAAATGGTAAGACACTGGATTACGCTACCAAAAGAGTTGGGTCTTGCCACTTGTGAAAGTGCAGGAGGAGCTGGCTTAAGCCCATCCTATCCCCCAGCCCCTCGACTGTCGAGGTCGGTCTTCCTTTCTGTTTCTGTTGCCACCACCGCACGTTGTCCCTTATGGTCTGTCTCCAAATTTACCTTCCTGTTGGAATAACCTCCCCACCGCCCTCTCCTGCCTTCTCTCTATCCCTTTAAATTCACCCTTTTCCACTGCCTACTTAAACCTTCGTTAGCTCAGCTCGTGTTGCATTTCTCCACTGGGGAAAACCTTCAGAAATGTACCATTATCTGTTGAATAAATTTCAGCTCCCCTGGCCTGGCATTAAGCCCTACGTGATGGGCTTCAGGCCAATTGTCTTCTAATCCTCCCTCACAGCAACATCAGGATCCAGTTAAACCACGATTGTTACCCCCAGACAAGAGTCAGGGCCTCCCCACCTCCTCATCTGGCCTTGAGTCATTTCTTCCTGCTGGAGTTCCTTCCCCAGCTCTGCTTATGAAAATCTGTGAAGGTGCCTTGATCTCTGAATCACCAGAGTCGGAAGACATTTGTCTTTCTTTTAAGCGCTAGCAATGTTGGTGCTTCTCTAGAGGCCCTTGACAAATACCACGTTCTGAAGTTACTGTGAAAATATCTCATTTACAAGAATTAGGCTCCGTGGTGTCTATCAACTCAGTCGATGTTCAAGAGACGTTTGTTGGAAAAGGAATATGAAGAGAAATCTAGCTGCCTGAGGAAACGGGGCGGGCCCATAGTTGCATCCGGGTCTCTGGCCCCGTGGGCTGCAGATGCCCCGCAGGCCAGCTCGGGCGGGCAGAGGGGTCATCTTGCAGGGTGACCCGCAGGCCAGCTCGGGCAGGCAGAGGGTCATCTTGCAGGGTGACCCGCAGGCCAGCTCTGGCGGGCAGAGGGGTCATCTTGCAGGGTGACCCGCAGGCCAGCTCTGGCGGGCAGAGGGTCATCTTGCAGGGTGACCCGCAGGCCAGCTCTGGCGGGCAGAGGGGTCATCTTGCAGGGTGACCCGCAGGCCAGCTCTGGCGGGCAGAGGGGACATCTTGCAGGGTGACCCGCAGGCCAGCTCGGGCAGGCAGAGGGTCATCTTGCAGGGTGACCCGCAGGCCAGCTCTGGCGGGCAGAGGGGTCATCTAGAGGCGGAGCAGAAACCTGAGAACCCAGACTCAGGGAGAGGCCGCTGGGCAGCCGGGCACTGAAGCCAGGAACACCGGCATTTGAGGTAAATGGCCAGGCCAGTGCCTTCCAGAAAGGAAGTCCATGTTCCGAGGAGTGGGAGAAACCGTTTGCTTACGAACCTTTGACCAGGAAAGCAGAGGGGCAAAGAGGCCAGTCAGAGGCAGAGAGGAGGCCCCACCGACGCAACCCTACCCGCCAATGCCCCTTCCTCTCCCTGACCCGGACCTCACGCTGAACTCATGCGCATCCGATTTCATTTAACTAAGGACATTTTTAAGTGACCATTGTGTGGAAGGCACTAGCTTAAGTGCTCTCCCATTGAGTCATGACACAGTAATAGCGACAGTGCTAACACCGTTGAATATTTTCTAGTGCCAGGAGCTGAACTGTGCCTAAATGCATTATTTCATCTAATCTTAGTAACTCAACTGTGAGGCAGGTGCTATGATTAGCATCCTTACTGAAAGTTGAGGCAATGGAGGCTTGGAGAAGTGAAGTGGTTTGCCCAGGTTCCCAGGAGTAAGTGGAGGCAGCCGCAGGTCCAGGGGTGGGGGCAGGCTGCGGGGCGCTCAGCCCCTTCTCCCCACCTTCTTCCCATTGGCTCAGTCCCTTGCATTTTCACAGGCGCAGGGGCAGCAATACTTTTTAGATTTGGGTCTGGTCAACGTTTTTGGTCCCTTGGAAAATTCTCTCCTACAAAATAGGTTATGAATGTAACCCAATCCCCATTAAGATGGTCACTCAGTGATTGCTGTGTGTGTGTGTGTGTGTGTGTGTGTGTGTGTGTGTGTGTGTGTGCGCGCGCGCGCGTGCATGCGCACATGTGCGTATGATAATTAAGTGAATTTGGAGTTGGCACAGGGTGGGGATTGGCCGTGACTTCTGGGTAGGGTAGTGGGTAACTGGAAGAGGACTGAGGCCGGGCGTGGTGGCTCATGCCTGTAATCCCAGCACTCTGGGAGGCCGAAGTGGGCAGATCATCTGAGGTCAGGAGTTCGAGACCAGACTGACTAACGTGGTCATTATAAACTGACCAACCCAGTCTCTACTAAAAATACAAAATTAGCCAAGTGTGGTGGTGCATGCCTGTAATCCCAGCTACTCGGGAGGCTGAGGCAGGAGAATCACTTGAACCTGGGAGGCGGAGGTTGCGGTGAGCCGAGATGGCACCACTGCACTCCAGCCTGGGCAACAAGAGTGAAACTCCACCTCAAAATAAAATAAAATAAAAAAGAAAAAGAAAAAAAAAACAGAAGAGGACTGAGTGGTGCTGTGGTCAAGGTGGGGGGCACAAGCTCTGTCCCTGCCCTGGCACCAGCTCCCCCTGTCCCCACTCCCGGTCTTCATTTCCTCATAGGTAAAGCAGGGAGCAGAATAACTCCCTCCTGGACTAGTACAGGGCTGGGGAGGACAACATGCGCCACACGTAGTGAGGATTTACCCGATGGACATGCTGTGATGGCTGGGACTGGTATTTAGACTGCAGCTATTAATAGAATGACATTGCAGAACTGGATTCATGATAAGGCTTCCTTAACTTTCATTTAATTCTATTTCAAATGAAATCTTAAGTATTTTAAAAAATTAAAAATATTTAGAAATAAATATTGAGGAGGTCAATGAAAAAGAATGAAGTTATTTACAAAAGAAAAACTGACTCAAGATTCATATGAGAACAACAACTACTCTTAACCTATAATGTCCCTAAGTGAATTGATTTGGAAATAGTTAGGAAAAGGAACCGCATCGTGAAAGCCATCTTGGAACTGATTAGGTTCTAACGCATTTAATGCCAAATCAGGAGAGCCAGTAAACTAAAACAATGAGATCAAAGCCGCAGCAAATACTCTGCACACCAGCGAGTCCTGACACATGGGAACTGGCGCAGGGTTCAGTCGGTCCACGGCCAAACTCAGTTTCTGCTCATGTGGGGTAGATATCAGTGCACGGAATTCCAAATTTGTTGGTGTGGTTTCCAGCGACCAGTTCCAGGCTCCCATCTGCATGCCACAGTCTAGCATCTCAATGGCAACTGGCTGACCTTGAGCCTGTCCTCGCTGATGGAGGGACTGCTTTTATCACTGTGTTTCACCTTTGCTGGGCACGACCTTCTGATCTCACTGTGGCAGTTCACAGTTAATTGCACTAAGGAAGGGCCGCATCTGAATAAGTCCCTCCTGAAGAACATGCAATCTGAATTCACATGTATTTCTCTTTAGAGTGCATTCCATGATGTTTTGCTACACACATACCCCCTAAATTGTAGTTATTTTAGATATTCTGTAGAACTAATTTATGGTCCCTGTATATTCCGGGAAGGTAATTGGGAAAGCCATTCAAAAGTGTTGAGTGGTATAGACGAGTATTTGGTCATAAAAAGTTCTCTATGCATTATTTTTCTTAGATAATCGAGAGCACATTTTATGCTGAAACTTCAGGCAAAGTGATGCATAAAATGAATCAGCATTATAAACTTGGCAACATGGGATTTTTAGTTTTATTAGTTCCCATTCAAAGGTATGACAGTCGCGAAACTCTTTTGTGCTCATTTAGAATTTCAAATGTAGGAGAATGTTAATAAGTGAATCTAATCCTTGTACTGATCCTGCTTAACAGAGCTTATTCTCCTGTTTTTCAGATGAGGAAATCAAGGCCAAGAAACTGTAACAGGTAAGTCCCAAAGTATGGAGGTGGCACACCAGGAGACAGGCCTGTCGGGCTCTTGCCACTGTGACGTCTACCTTTAATGACCTCGGTTACAGAATACCACGCACACGGAGCAATCAGGAAAGAAGGGCATTTCTTTACCACTGTCAGGTTTAAAATTCTTGTGGCTGAAAGCTCAAGATAACTCTGAAGGTGAATCAGACGCCAGCCCCACTTCAAACACCATTAGTGCTTGGCATTTCAAGCGCATGAGACGAAATTGCAATTAAGAAAACCTGAGAATCTCACTGAGCTTCTGCAACTAGCCATTATCACAAGATAAATGTCTTTTTTGAAAAACAAACTAAAAAGATGATACAGAATAAATGTTTGAATAATGTCTAAATTCTGTGGGGAAAAGAAAAGCAAGAACCCGGAGGCCTAGTCTCTCCAAATCATTTCCTTAATTTTTAAGAAAACAACAAAGCCAAATAAATAGCTTCTTCTGTGGTGTTTCTGAAAATGTGGGATTCTGAATGTGAGATCCTGAAAATCTCCAGGAACCTCCAGACCACAAAACCCTCAGCATGGCCACGGTCGGGCCACACCGTTCTGAGGTTTCCCAACTGCGCACGCCACACTCAGAGCAACACATGTACCCCGGTTCCTCGTTCAATTATTTTTCTCTGTTAAATGAGTGGAAAATAATGTCATCCATCTGGCAGGAGACTGGCTGGTGTTCTGTTTCTGGTGTTCTTTGCTCAAATGCTTCCATTCCAAGTGTTAAAAGACTATCTGTGTAAATGGTCAGGGCTCGGGGTGTCCCTTTGGGGTGATCTAAGAGAAGGTCAGGATTGAAAAGAAACATGTAAGAAATGCAGAGCCTCGAAGTGTCCCCAGAGCTGGCTCAGGTGTGACCCAGATCCTGCGGGCTGTGAGGGGCCTGGGCAGCCTCCGCAGGAGGAGGTGAGCATGGCCGTGTGTGCGGCCTGTGGGGACAAACGTGGCGGCGAAGGCTGCTGGGAGGGCTGAGGGTCCCCGGCTTCTGGGGTTGGGAAACTGGCTCTTCCTGGTGAGGGGTCCCTTTCCCTTCTGTAAGAGCAGTGGGGACCAGGTTTCCAAAACGTTGTTCAGATTTTGCAAAGTGAAAGGCAAGAGCTTGCTGTCTTTTTGACCTGCAAGGAACACCAAAGCAAATGCGACCCCAGCATTTGCCTGCCATTTCTCTCCTCAGGGCCCTTGATTCTGCAGCCTGACATTGTCCTGAAAAATCACTTTCGTTCCGACAGCCACCAACCATACGCATAAGACTTTTAAAAGTTAGGTGCAAACTACTCATGTACTATCTGCTGCATGGGAAAAATAATCAGATGGTCTTTGAGGGAAGACACACACACACACACGCACATACACACATTCACATATGTACATATACATATATACAGATACACAAACACATATACACATATCTACACATATGCAAGCACACATCCACAGTCACATACATATCCATATACAAATACACACCTACATATATGCACATACATCTACACGTGTACACATAAACACACACATAAATACACATATGCATATACATACACACATGTACATAAACATCCATACACTTACATACCACATATACATATTTATGTAGTTTTAAAGTGACCTGTTGCGGAAAGTTTTCCCTCAAAAAAGCCTTTTGGGGAGCAGGAAGGGACGATATGGAACTCAGTAAGGAGCCTGTTTCTTTCCAGATGACCAAGGCTCACATTAGGAGGTAAGAACTGTTGAATTCAGCATGGATATACTGCCTGTTCTCAAGATGGTCTTTGACAGCAAAGCCATTTTCTATGGCAGAAATTATGATCATATTATTGATTCTGAAAATTAGTTGCCAATTCTTGACTGACTTAAAGTTTTTTAACACTTTGAAAGGGATTGAGAATAGTAGTATGGTCTTTAAATAATGTTTTTGTAAAACTTGCTTTAGAAACCAAAATTTCATCTTTGTTTCTGCCTCTCTGATACTCTTTACAGAATATTGTTTTATTACTACCTGTGTTATTATGGGTAGTAAACATAAATGTCCCACTTTATGTATCAATAATAAAATAGGCATTATTTTCCTAAAAACAGCTGTACATACTGATATTTCCTGACAATAAATATTTATGGACAACTCACGCCAGTTTTACTTTCCATACCAATTGTAACAGATGTGAGCTCATCATTCAGTCTGGAAGATTTTATAAACCACTGAATAACAAACTCCCATCCATTCCAAAAGACATGGACTATAAAATAGCATGAATTGTCAGTAAATGGTTATCCTGATGAAATATTCCGTTCACCCCTCCACTTGCATAAAGATAGATCATGCTCCAAAATATGCATACTTTTATAGAGGGAAGAATAATTTTTAAAAGTGATTTACACGACAGAACCATGCAATAGAGCATTTTCCTCCAAGTTCAAGACAAGGAGCCTCTGTCATGAAGGGATGGAGTCATTCAGTCCCTTCCAGCAGCCTAGCTGAACAGTGAGGCTCCTTTCAGAGTCTACAGTCAAATCAAACCGGTCGAGGCGGATGGTGCACCTACTGTGGGCAATGTTCTTTGCTAGATGCTGTCATCTACCTGAGAGGAATTTATACAGAGCCGCACATAGTATATGCATCCATGACAGCTCTGCTCCTTATGACACAGGCATCCGAGCTGCTCTGCCTGTGCAGGAGCTGTGGTTATTATTCCTTCCCCATCACGGACGGTGCATTCTTTTCCTTGGACTTCATTTCTGCTCCAGCTCTCTGGGCTGGGCCATTTTCCTAATTGCTTCTCTGGCAAATATCTCCGGGGCCCTTTGGCTTCTCCCGCCATGATGTGAAGCAGAGATTAAAGATGTCAGGATTGTGCTAGGAACTGAGGATACAGTGGTTGACAGAAAAGATCCGGTCTTTGACCTCATGGGGATTCACTCTAGCAGGGAAGAGGAGCTTTAAATAAATCATCACTGCTACTGTGCTGTGGGAGCTTAGACGGGAGATCTAGCCTGGACTGGGGCTGGCGGGGTGGGGGTGCTGCCCGAGTGGGGATGTGTCAGGGGAAGCGGGAGGGACGAACAAGGAAGGAGACAGGGGCGTAAAGGATCACAGGCAAAGAGAAGGGTTTGCGCAAAGGCCCTGCGGTAGGGGAGAGTTGGATCTGTTCAGAAGCAGAGATGAGTCCGGTGGAGTTGCAGGTGGGGTGGGGAGAGGGGTGTCTGGGGGAGGCTGGACAAGCAGGCAGGAGTCAGGTGATGCTGGCCCTGAGGTCCCTGGGATGGGTGGTCACCTTATTCTAAGGGCCAAAAGGAGGCCAAGGAAGGCTCAAGTGGACCAGTGCATGACTGATTTTGAGTCGAGGCTGCTGTTTGGACAATATTTGATGGGTGTGAAGGTCAATGGCTACTGCACTGCCCCAGGCAATGTGATGATAGTGGCTTGGTTTAGGGTGGTAGAGAAATGAAGACCTATTTTGGAAAATTAAAAAACAGCTAGAACATGGTGTTGAATTTGATAAAGTGAGAGAGAGGGATACCTGTATTTCTCTTGTGCAAAGGGATAGATGGCAACAGCTTTAGCAGGGGCAACAGGGGAGGACAAAGGCTTGAGGAGATAGAAGGGCAGGAATTTGCCTTTGGACACATGAAGGCCGAGTCCCTGAGAGGCATCAGAAGGGAGGCGGGGAGCGGGGGTTGGGGGCGGCTCTGGACATCCAGAACTCAAATACCATCAAGATGCTGGAAGAGCACTTATGTGATGTCATGTGTTTCAATACCGGTTTTATTTCTTGCTTTAAAACATCTAGAATAAGATGGTTTTAAAAATCTAAAATAAAAATATCTAAAATAAAATAACATTAATCTGTTAAACACACTATGAGCTTTAATGAGCAATTTTCTAATAATCACTCACATCTCCCAGTTCCTAGTTCAAGGCTCTCTGCCAGACCACTGTTCTTCAGCATGTGCATGGAAGAAATTCATGCCCGTGAACTCTGTGGGGCCAGAGGGCAGTGATACCGGCTGGAACGGAAGATGACTCCCCTCTAAAGGAGCTGACAGTCTGGGACTGAGGTCAGAACGTCCAGCAGCTGCTGGCCTGGCCCCGGGCTGGCAGCAAACTCTCTGAACCTTGGCTTGTTTTTATGCAGGATGGCAAGAGGGACAAGATAATCTTCCAGAAAACCTACAGTTTTATAATTGTATAATTCTTTGGATTGCAATAATTAAAAATTCAAAATAAATCTGTTTATTAAACCCTATTTAATTTTTTTTTTTGAGACAGAGTTTTGCTCTTGTTGCCCAGGCTGGAGTGCAATGGTTTGATCTTGGCTCACTGCAACCTCTGCCTCTTGGGTTTGAGCGATTCTCCTGCCTCAGTCTCCCAAGTAGCTGGGATTACAGGCATGCACCGCCATGCCCAGCTAAGTTTGTATTTTTAGTAGAGATGGGGTTTCACCACATTGGTCAAGCTGGCCTCAAATTCCTGACCTCAAGTGATCTACCGGCCTTGGCCTCCCAAAGTGCTGGGATCACAGGTGTGAGCCACCGCATCTGGCCTAAATTTTTTTTTTTTTTTTTTTTGAGACGGAGTCTCGCTCTGTCGCCCAGGCCGGACTGCGGACTGCAGTGGCACAATCTCGGCTCACTGCAAGCTCCGCTTCCCGGGTTCACGCCATTCTCCTGCCTCAGCCTCCCGAGTAGCTGGGACTACAGGCGCCCGCCACCGCGCCCGGCTAATTTTTTTGTATTTTTAGTAGAGACGGGGTTTCACCTTGTTAGCCAGGATGGTCTCGATCTCCTGACCTCATGATCCACCCGCCTCGGCCTCCCAAAGTGCTGGGATTACAGGCGTGAGCCACCGCGCCCGGCCCTAAATTTGTTTTTATTGGAAAAACCTAACACATTGATTTATCCATAACATTGTGTTTATGGCATCCTAATCTGAAAAACATAATCTTAATCAAATTGCATATCTATTTCTTTGTTCAGGTTTGATCCCTAGTTCCAATCTTTTTGGATATATAATTGCTGGCTACAAGTTAGAAGGACTGATTCCTTCATTGCAATTTCCACATCTTCGAGTTAAGCGCTTTTTGGAAATCATCAGGAATGTTGTGTTCATGGCTGGAAAGCTCAGACACTAAAATACACATCTGCCACCAACCAGAGTCAGGAAAGGTCATGTCTGTCTCTTTACATTCACATCACCCACATTTATAAACTGAGTGTATATTACAGATACCCTTTAAATTAATCTAAAACTTGATTTTGATTTTTTGCATGAAAATTATCATGTCATATAGTAATGTGCATAAATGCTCAAAGTGATTTTTAAATTATACATACACAAAAGACACAGAATGCCAAGAATCAGTAGTAAAAAACATTCAAGAGCTTCTTTTTTTAATAAAATGATAACCACTAAAATTTACATGTTTACACAAAATTTGCCCCAGTGGCAGGTCATTGTAGCAATGGGTGCAAAGGCTTTCCTTGTAGAAGGGCTTGATGATTGAGCAATTTGGGGCCATGTGTTTGCAGAAAGAAATTGTTGTTTCCCATTGTTTTTTATGTCTAAAAGAAAGTGAAGAAAAGTACACACTGGATGGTGTAAGCCTTGTCATGGCTAAATCCAAAACCTTTAAGATGAATTTCTTTTCTTTTTTTTTTTTTTTTGAGATGGAGTTTCACTCTTGTTGCCCATGCTGGAGTGCAGTGGTGTGATCTCAGCTCATTTCAACCTCCACCTCCCAGTTTCAAGTGATTCTCCTGCCTCAGCTTCCCAAGTAGGTGGGATTACAGGCGCACACCACCATGCCCAGCTAATTTTTTGTATTTTTAGTAGAGATGGGGTTTCACCATGTTGGTCAGGCTGGTCTCGAACTCCTGACCTCAGGTGATCCACCTGCCTCGTCCTCCCAAAGTACTGGGATTACAGGCCTAAGCCACTGCACCTGGCCCAGATGAATTTCTTTTGATAAAGAGATAAGAGAAATAAATATTTTTGTAGGGGGTAAATTGGAGACACAGGAGGTAGCTTTTCAGTCAAGACTTCTTGACCAAGGACTTCATTTAGATTTTCACTTTTTGGCTCTAAGAGGACAGATTTGACCTGCTAATTACTTGGTGGGGTGGGAAAATTTCTTTTTCTTAAGTCTGTGTGTATATTAACATCAGCATAATTTGTATATCACCTCAAAGTCTTTGACTTACAATGAGCGTAACTATGGTGAAATTTTTCTTCTCTGGTGGCTTACTTTAAATGTCTTAATATTATCCAAATGCTTTATTCAATAAGGAAAAGAAAATTGCCCTTTTTTTCAAGTGACCCAAACAATAATTTTAAAAAAGTTCTGAATATTCAAATTAATGCTTCTATTTCTATTGATTTAATCTACATTATTTTTAAAGATTCTTGAAAAACTTGATCTGCTTCTTGTGCACATGATACTCATCTGATTTTATCTTGAACATTTAAGAGATTTTGTTTTAATAAGAAAGGAAAGAATGCTGTCAAGATATCGGTTAAAGTTAATTGAATTTGGAATGCATGCCAAAATTGGGTGGGCCTCATTCCTTTTCCTATGCTGTTGAATTACTAGATCAAAAGATTAGCTCAATGTAGCCTGACTCATATACACTGTATTTCAATTATATATTATTACTCTATGGATTCTGAATTTTGCTTAGAATTGGTAATTATTGAATATAAGATGTTTAAATTTTGTCTTCATAATGATAAATTTGAAGGTTCATTTACTAGAGATCTTGCTATAGATTTCTACTTCTGAAATTAAATGAAATTAAATGTACACTATCTAGATTTCATATAGCAAAAAAAAAAATTCATCTTGATTTTTGGCTATTGTTATTTTTTAGCAGTTGTACGCCAATGTTTTGATCTGGCCTTACTGTCCAATGTATTTTACATTGTGTTGCAAGCTTACCCTTTCTAAGGTACAGCTCCAGCCATGCCAGCTGCTGCCACCCCACTTCCATCCCATGCAGATACCTTTGAGGACTGTGCTGAGGCAAAGTCTCAGATCTCTCCACAGGAGCCAAGGGCTTCTTCAATGGCAATGATCTGCTCTTCCTCACTCCTGAGGGTGTTTTTCCCAGTAGCCTTGCTGCCGTTTCTTGAGCCCTGCCTCCTCTGAACGTCCTGCTCTGCACCCCCAAGCTCGCACCACCACAGGTCCCCAGTTGTGGCTCTTGAGCTGGCCCCACCTCTCCACCGCTCCAGCCCAGAGTCTAGTGCCTTATGTTTGCCCACTTGTGCTTGCACTGGCTTCTGCACCTGGAGCATCCCCCCATCTCCGGATGCACAAAGCCTACCCATCTTGCTCATCTCAGTTCAAATGATACCCTTTTCATAATCTGACGGGAAGGAGCATCTTCTCTTCCATTCCCTCCTTGGTGATTTTAATTCTACTTCTCATGACATCATTTCCTGCCATAAGTTGTGGTTTACATGTGTTATAAACCAATGTTTGTGTTCCCCAAATTCATATGTTGAAGTCCTAACCCCCAGTGTGGCTGTATCTGGAGATGGGACCTCTAAGGAAGAAATTAAGTCCAAACGAGGTCAGATGATCTAATAGGATTCATGTTCTTATAAGGAGGTGCCAGAAAGCTTGCTCCCGCTCTCTCCCTGTGCACATGCATCCAGGAAAGGCCATGTGAGTGCACAGTGAGAAGGTGGTCACCTGCAAGCCAGGAAAAGAGCCCTCCCCAGATACTAAATTGGCCGAACCTTGATCTTGGACTTCCTGTCTCCACAAATGTGAGATTATACATTTTTGTGGTTCCAGCCGCTCAGTCTCTGGTGTTTGGCTATGGCAGCCTGAGCAGACTAAGACAACATGGGATAGATGGGATCTTCTCATTTAGAGTGAAGACCTTGAAATGAGTGTTCATTGAACATTTGCCTTTGTTCACCACACTGCCTGGCTCTGTGTGTGCCTATGGGGTGGTGCACAGTATAACCCCTACCAGCTCAAGATGCAGTGAAATCCAGGCAAACCCAAAACTGTTGAGACAGCCCAGACAGGTGGGGCCAGCTCAAGAGCCACAACTGGGGAACTGTGGTGGTGCTAGCATGGGGGTGCAGAGCAGGACGTTCAGAGGAGGCAGGGCTCAGGACACGGCAGCAACAACACAGCTTCTAGAGGTGGCAGACTCACTCCCTAAAGTGATAACTCCACATCCCATGCACACAGCATGAGCTGCTAGATCTGGGAGGATGGAAAGGAGACTGAGCAGAGGCCATGCAGAGTGGAAGTGGAGCAGAGACGCTTGGTGAAGGAAGGGCCAGCTGGCCAGGTGGCAGCAGACCCGAGCGAAAACAATCTCTGCCTCTGGAGGGAGGGCTCACTCAGAAGCTTCCAGTGCAAAGGATGAACCTCAGGACAGACCAACAGATCCCAAAACAAGGATGCGCAGTGCAGGCTGAGGGTGGATGCCCTGCTAGGTTGATTTGGGAAGATAATTCTTCCCAGGTAATTCAATAACATAGGAATAATCTATCTTCATGGAGTTGACTCTCCTTCTCTCAAGCAAGCTCTTTCAATTAGCTGGAAAATATGACTTATGTGATAGTGAATAATTTGAAACAAAAGCCAGCATAGCATTGATATAATAAGAAAAAAATACAGGAAAGAGTAGTGAAAATTATTAGAGGAAGGATATTCACACATACTCACAGACACAACTGCCAAGAAATCTCTTATTGAATATTAAACCTCTGATTGAATTCAATATTAAGAGCCCTTAAAGCAAAAACACAAGATCTCAGGGCACAGACAGCAAGACTACTGGAGAAAATGAAAAGCAAGTTGACAGCACTCAGGAAAGAGCTAAAAGAATAATAAATCATAGAAATGGAAATCAAAATGACAGGAGCAAAGGAAGAATTGCACTAGGGAAAACTTGGTAAACAGATAGATACTAGAAATTAGAAAAATTAAGCAAAGTCAAATTGCAATAGGGAATGTAAAATGATTGAAGATCTATTCAACACAGTACTGGAAGTCCTAGCCAGAGCAATCAGACAAGAGAAAGAAATAAAGGGCATCCAAATTGGTGAAGAGGAAATCAAACTGTTGCTGTTTGCTGCTGATAATGATGGTATACCTCGAAAACCCAAGACTCATCCAAAAAGCTTCTAGAACTTGTAAAGGAATTCAGCCAAGTTTCAAGATACAAAATTAATGTACACAAATCAGTAGCTCTGCTATACACCAACAGCGACCAAGCTGAGAATCAAATCGGGAACTCAACCCCTTTCACAAGAGGTGCAAAAAGAAAAAACTAAATACTTAGGAATACACCTAACCAAGGACATGAAAGACCTCTACAAGGAAAACTACAAAACACTGCTGAAAGAAATCATAGATGACAAAAACAAATGGAAATACATCCCATGCTCATGGGTGGGTAGAATCAATATTGTGAAAATGATCATACTGCCAAAAGCAATCTAGAAACAAAGAAATTCCAATCAAAATACCACCATCATTCTTCAAAGAAGTAGAAAAAACAATACTAAAATTCATATGGAACTAAAAAGGAGCCCACATAAGCAAAGCAAGAATAAGGAAAAAGAATAAATCTGGAGGCATCACATTACCTGACTTCAAACTGTAATGTAAGGCCATAGTTACCAAAACAGCATGGTACTGGTATAAAAATAGGCACATAGACCAATGGAACAGAATAGAGAACCCAGAAATAAAGCCAAATACTTACAGCATACTGATCTTTGACAAAGCAAACAAAAACTTAAAGTGGGGAAAGGATACCCTATTCAACAAATGGTGCTGAGATAATTGGCAAGCCACATGTAGAAGAATGAAGTTGGATCCTCATCTCTTACCTTATACAAAAATCAACTCAAGATGGATCAAAGACTTAAATCTAAGACCTGAAACCATAAAGACTCTATAAGATAACATTGGAAAAACTTTTCTAGACATTGACTTAGACAAAGACTTCATGACCAAGAACCCAAAAGCAAATTCAACAAAAACAAAAATAAATAGATGGGACTTAATTAAACTAAAAAGCTTCTGCACAGCAAAAGAACCAGCAGAGTTAACAGACAACCCACAGAGTGAGAGAAAATCTTCACACTATATACACCTGATAAAGTACTAATATCCAGAATCTACAAAGAACTCAAACAAATCAGAAAGAGAAAATCAAGCAATCCCATCAAAAAGTGGGCTAAGGATATGAATAGACAATTCTCAAATGAAGATATATGAATGACCAACAAGCATATGGAAAAATGCTCCACATCACTAATTATCAGGGAAATGAAAATCAAAACCACAATGCAATACCACCTCACTCCTGCAAGAATGGTCATAATCATAAAATAAAAAAATAATAGATGCTGGTATGGATGTGGTGAAAAGGGAACAGTTTTACATTGTTGGTGGGAATGTAAACTAGTACAACCACTAAGGAAAATAGTGTGGAGATTCCTTAAAGAGCTAAAAGTAGATCTGTGGTTTGATCCAGAAATCCCACTATTAGGTACCTACCCAAAGGAAAAGAAGTCATGACATGAAAAAGATACTTGTACATGCATGCTTATAGCAGCACAATTTACAATTGCAAAAACATGGAATCAGCCCAAATGCCCATCAATCAACTAGTGGATAAAGAAAATGTGATATATATCTATATATATAGATATAGATATAGATACAGATATATATACACACACACACATATACATATATATACACGTATGTATATATGTATACATATATAGACAAAGTATGTATATGTATATATGTATACATATATAGACAAAATAGACATATGCATACACATATATACACATATATGTATATATGTGTATATGTGTGTGTGTGTGTATGTGTGTATATATATATACACACATACACACACACCATGAGATACTACTCAGCCATAAAAAGGAACGAAATAACGACATTCACAGCAACTTGGATGGAATTGGAGACTATTATTCTAAGTGAAGTAATTCAGGAATGGAAAACCAAACATCATATGTTCTCACTCATACATGGGAGCTAAACTATGAGGACGCAAAGGCATGAGAATGATACATTGGACTTTGGGGACTCAGGGGGAAGGGTACGTGGTGGTGAGGGATACAAGACTACACATTGGGTACAGTGTACACAGCTCAGGTGATGGGTGCACCAAAATCTCAGAAATCACCACTAAAGAACTTATTCATGTAACCAAACACCACCTGTTCCCCAAAAACTATTGAAATAAAAAAAATTGTAAAACATTAAATAAAATGATGAAAGATAAAGTGAGAGGTAGAGAAGACAGGCATGGAGATTTTAAAAACATGCATACTTGGAGTTCCTGAGGACAGCGAATACACTGAAACAGAACGAATATGAAAATATTTCATTAAAGAAATTATTCTTGAAATAACTGAAGACTTGAACCTGTTGTTTAGTCAGTTTGAAGTGCTATAACCAAATATCTTAGACTGGGTAATTTGTAAACAACATAAATTTATTGCTCACAGTTCTGACGGCTGGGAAGTGCAAGATCAAGGCACCAGCAGAGTCATTGTCTGGTGAGGGCCTGTTCTTCATAGATGGTTGCTTCTATGTGTCCTCACGTGGTGAAAGTGCAAAAAGGGCTCCCTCAAGCTCATTCTCTAAGGGTGTTAATATCATTCATGAGGGCAGAGCCCTCATGATCTAATCACCCCCCAAAGGCCTCACTTCTTAATACTTTGCGTTGGACATTAGATTTCAACATATGCATTTTGGAGTCACACAAACATTCCGACCACGGCAACCCACATATTGGAAGAGCACACCCTATGTCAAGGAAAACTGACCCAGAATGATCAACACCAGGTAGGAATGAAGGGTTAGAAGCTGGTCTGTCCCTCATCCTCTCTACCCTGAGGATGTCTGGGGAGAAAGGAAGGAAAAGAGAAATGGTCACTTCGAACCTAGTGGAAACAAAATGAAGGAAAATGCCAATTATTGGATATACCTTGTGCTGTTTCATGATTGAAAGTAATACCCTATTTTAAGGCCAGGCTCAGTGGCTCATGCCTGTAATTCCAGCACTTTGGGAGGCCAAGGAGGAAAGATTACTTGAGCCCAGGAGTTCAAGACCAGCCTGGCCAATATGGCAAAACCCCATCTCTACAAAAAAATACAAAAATTAGCCAGGCATGGTAGCGCTCGCCTGTAGTCCCAGCTATGTGGGAGACTGAGGCAGGAGGATCATTTGAGCCTGGAAGGTCAAGGCTGCAGTGAGCCAAGATCACACCACTGCATTCCAGCTTGGGTGATAAAGTGAGGCTCTGTCTAAATAAAAAAGAAAGAAAGAAAGAAAGAAAGAAAGAAGGAAGGAAGGAAGGAAGGAAAGAGAATAATAAAAAAAAAAAGCAATACTCTTCGCACATCACCTGGAGTCCTCAGCTGCTCAGCCGGGAACAGTGTCCCAGTGTGGCAGGAAAGGACTTGAGGAGCTGCACTGACACTTTGACTTCATGCTTTCCCCGTCTCTTGCAGTCACTATGTCCTTTGAATTATTAATAAGGAGGCAGGTCTAATTCTTGAGAGCTTAGTTGGAAAATCTGATCCTTTATATTATCTCACAAAGCCATATCCTATGTTACTGAATTTTAAATATAAAGAAAAATAATTGAACAGCCAGACAAAAAAAGACCAAGTCACTTAAAAGGGAGAAAACTTATGTTGGTCTCAGAATTCTCCGCAGCTACCTTCTAGGTCGAAGGACAGTGGAGAAATATCTATACAAACCAAAGGAAATAAAATATGTCAGAAATTTTAGATCCAGTAAGACTGTTCTTCAAATAAAAAGTCTAAAGGCAAACAGTTTTGAAAAAAATGTGACATTTGGGAAATATCATTTCTTGCCTTTATGAGAAAATGACTAGAGGACAATACTCAGGCAACCTAGCGATGACAAAAATGATCAGTGCTGAGTGTTGAGTATATTTACTGAAGAGCTAAGATGAAAACAATGTGGGTGGCAAAACAGAACATACATATGAAAAGCTTTGGTAACGTAGAAATGATGCTGCTAACAAAAAAATAAGAGGAAGAAGGGAGAAAAAGATGGAAAATAGAGTTCATTTGCTGCTGTCTCATTTGCAATAGTTGGGTATTAAAGAACATTATTTTAAGCAGATATATCAAATAATAGAAAAATAAGGGCTGGGCATGGTGGCTCATGCCTGTAATACCAGCACTTTGGGAGGCTGAGATGGGCAGATCATTTGGGGTCAGAAGTTTGAGACCAGCCTGACCAAAATGGTGAAACCCCGTCTCTATTAAAAAGACAAAACAAAAAACAAACCTAGCTGGGTCTGGTGGTGCACGCCTGTAATCTCAGCTACTTGGGAGGCTGAGGCAGGAGAATTGCTTGAACTTGGGAAGCAGAGGTTGCAGTGAGCTGAGATCATGCTACTGCATCATTCCAGCCTGGGCAACAGAGTGAGACTCTATCTCAAAAAAAAAAAAAAAAGAAAGAAAGAAAGAAAAGAAAAAGAAGTACATTTAACAGAAGCAAAGGTACATACCAAGTAACTTGATTTTATTTAAACAACTTCTACATCAAAGAGGAAGTACAGTCCCAAATTATAGAACGAATAGAAAACAACAGAACGGTGATCATTAAAAAGTTAGGAAACAACAGGTGCTGGAGAGGATGTGGAGAAATAGGAACATTTTTACACTGTTGGTGGGACTGTAAACTAGTTCAACCATTGTGGAAGACAGTGTGGTGATTCCTCAAGGATCTAGAACTAGAAATACCATTTGACCCAGCCATCCCATTACTGGCTATATACCCAAAGGATTATAAATCATGCTGCTATAAAGAGACATGCACACGTATGTTTATTGAGGCACTATTCACAATAGCAAAGACTTGGAACCAACCCAAATGTCCATCAGTGATAGATTGGATTAAGAAAATGTGGCACATAAACACCATGGAACACTATGCAGCCATAAAAATGGATGAGTTCATGTCCTTTGTAGGGACATGGATGAAGCTGGAAACCATCATTCTCAGCAAACTATCGCAAGGACAAAATAAACAAACACTGCATGTTCTCACTCATAGGTGGGAACTGAACAATGAGAACATTTGGACACAGGGCAGAGAACATCACACACCAGGGCCTGTTGGGGGGTGGAGGGAGCGGGGAGGGATAGCATTAGGAGATTTACCTAATGTAAATGACGAGTTAATGGGTGCAGCACACCAACATGGCACATGTATACATATGTAACAAACCTGCACGTTGTGCACATGTACCCTAGAACTTAGAGTATAATAATAAAAAAAAACTAAAAAGAAAAAGAAAACAACATAATAAAGATACTGCATATCAGAAGTTATGATATGCCACTAAAATGCTCAGAGAAAAATGCATTACTTTACATTTTAATTTAATTAACAAGTAAGAATTTAAAAGGAATTAAACTAACTCAAAAAGTTAGGCAAGGAGCAACAAAATAAATGGAATTAAATCATAAGAAATTTTAAAAGCTGAAATTAATTAACTAGAAAACCCAAACAGCAGAACTACAAAATAAGTCCAAAAGATGGCTTTTAAAAGACAAAAATGTAGTGAAATATATGAGCCAATATCTAATTTAATCAAGAAAAAAAATGGAGAACTTGCAAACAGGAAATATCAAGGGGGGAGGAAAGTAACAGAAAATTAAGAGAATTAAAAGAAACACAGGACATAAGTTTGTTTAACTGTGCAAATACATTTGAAATTTGGATAAATTGAAGAAATTTTTAGGAAAATATAATTAGTCAAAACTGACCCTTGAAGAGGCAGAAAATCTAAAAAGTCTTATTTCTATGGGAAAAATACAGAAGGTTATCAAAAAGCTATTCTTGTCTAATCAAAAAGAAAAAGTCGCTAGGTCCAGACATGAGAATACCACAAATTAAGTGCTTTTTCTAGAGCTTAGGGAAACAACAACAACAACAAGAACGACAAACAAAACAAAACAAAAAAACACCTTAAGATTTTTTTTCTCTGGAGGAAGTATAACATTGATACTGAAAGACAAACATTTTAGAGAACAAACAATAGACCAATGTCACTTATGAAATCCTTAAACAGAATATTAGCAAAATAAATCCAGCCACATATCAAAAGAATGATGCAGGCCGGGCGCGGTGGCTCACGCCTGTAATCCCAGCACTTTGGGAGGCCGAGGCGGGCGGATCACGAGGTCAGGAGATCGAGACCATCCCGGCTAAAACGGTGAAACCCCGTCTCTACTAAAAAAATACAAAAAATTAGCCGGGCGTAGTGGCGGGCGCCTGTAGTCCCAGCTACTTGGGAGGCTGAGGCAGGAGAATGGCGTGAACCCGGGAGGCGGAGCTTGCAGTGAGCCGAGATCCCGCCACTGCACTCCAGCCTGGGCGACAGAGCAAGACTCCGTCTCAAAAAAAAAAAAAAAAAGAATGATGCATCATTACCAAATGTTTGTTTCAGAAATGTAAGGATGGTTCATTACTATGAATTCTATTCATACATTTTATCATACTAAGGATATAAGTAAAAAATATTATGATCATTTCCATGGATGTTGATAAAGCACTGGACAATATTTAACAACCACCATTGATAAAAACAAAATACGAAGAGTGAAATACTGCCTTTATAAGTTAAAATACATCTATCTCAGTCCAAAAGCCAGCACCCTGCTTGGTGGAGACATATCATAAATATGCTCAATAAAGTTCCACC
Organism: Homo sapiens; assembly: GCF_000001405.40. Lineage (NCBI taxonomy): Eukaryota > Metazoa > Chordata > Mammalia > Primates > Hominidae > Homo > Homo sapiens. The sequence goes on along the minus strand of NC_000006.12, from coordinate 163,272,604 downwards.
CTCACCAGTATCTTCACTGTTATTTAACATTATACTATAGAAAACAGTCAGTGCTATTACAAGAATTACACAGTGCTATTACTATAGGAAATAGTCAATGCTATTACAAGAAAAATAAATTTGAGGTAAAAAACTTGGGAAGGAGAAGGTAATATAGTCACATTTAGGAGGATTGTAAATTTTCTAAAATTTACACCTGGAAAACCTGAGAATTAACTGAATAAACAAACAAATTCAGTAAGGTAGTAGGGTTGAAAATTAATACACAGGCCGGGCGCGGTGGCTTACGCCTGTAATCCCAGCACTTTGGAAGGCCGAGGGACGCAGATCATGAGGTCAGGAGTTCAAGACCAGCCTGACCAACATGGGGAAACCCCGTCTCTACTAAAAATACAAAAATTAGCTGGGCATGGTGGCGCATGCCTGTAGTCCCAGCTATTTGGGAGGCTGAGGCAGGAGAATCACTTGAACCTGGGAGGTGGAGGTTGCAGTGAGCCAAGATTGGGCCACTGCACTCCAGCCTGGGTGAGAGAGCGAGACTCCATCTTGAAAAAAAAAAAAGAAAAAGGAAAGAAAAGAAATGAAAAGAAAAGAAAACAAATACACAGACTTCAATAGTTTTTATATGACCTATATGAAGAAAACTTTAAAACACAGTTGATGGGCCTGTAAGACAGGAGCAAGTGGAAAGTCACATCATGTTCTGGGATCAGGGAAACTGAGCATTACAAAGATAGCAATTCTACTTAAGTTAATTTTTACATTTAAAGAGATTCCAGTAGAAATGCCAGGTTTTTAATTGTAATTAGACATATTGGTCTCAAATTTCATATGTGAAAATACACAAGCAACAATTGCCAGGAACATTCTTTAAAAGACCAATAATCGATGTTTGGAGTGGATAAGAACTACCAGACATTAAAATATGCGGGCAAACATACATACAGGAATTTAATTGATATACATGCGTCATCTCAAACCAGTAGGTAAAACATGAACTATTTAATAAGTGATGTTGGGGCACCTGATGTTATGATTTGGATTCATACCTGACACCTTGCATTAGGATAATTCCAAATGAATTTAAATATAAAAGTAAAGTCACAAAAGATCTAGGCAAGTCCCTTTATAAACATGAATTGGGAAGGCCCATCAAACTATGGCTCAATTTCCAGAAGCAATGAAAAGAAAAAGATTCATTCAAACCTGTGATGGTTAATATTGAGTGTCAACTTGATTGGATTGAAGGATGCAAAGTATTGTTCCTGGTGTGTTTGTGAGGGTGTTGCCAAAGGAGATAAACATTTGAGTCGGTCCTGGGAGAGGCAGACCCACCCTCAATCTGGGTGGGCACCATCTAATCAGCTGCCAGTGTAGCCAGAATAAAAGCAGGCAGAAGAATGTGAAAAGACTAGACTGCCTGAGTCTTCTGGCCTTCATCTTTCTCCCGTGCTGGAAGCTTCCTGCCCTAGAACATCAGACTCCAAGTTCTTCAGCTTTGGGACTCTTGGACCTTCAACCACAGACTGAAGGCTGCACTGTTGGCTTCCCTACTTTTAAGGTTTTGGGACTCGAACTGGCTTCCTTGCTCTTCAGCTTGCAGACACGTCCTATTGTGGGACCTCACCTTGTAATCATGTGAGTCAATACTCCTTAATAAACTCCCCTTCATATATTCATCTATCCTATTAGTTCTGTCCCTCTAGAGAACCCTGATTAATATACAACCAATTCAGAAGTTTGCTACCATTTTCTATTGGAGAAGATGTAGGGAAATCGTCACTCTCATATCATTGGTGTTTTATTTTTATTTGTGGTGATTTTGACAGAATCTTTTCATTTTTATGTAATCAAATCTATCTTTTCCTTTGGATTTCTTTCTTTATGTTATATTTGCCCATATTGTATTTGGGCTTTAAAAAAATGGTTTCAGGCTGAGTGTGGTGGCTCAGGCCTGTAATCCCGGCACTTTGGGAGGCAAGGAGGGAGGACTGCTTGAGCCCAGGAGTTTGAGACCAGCCTGGGCAATATGGTGAGATCCCTTTATACAAGAAATAAAAAAAAAAATTAGTCAGGCATGGTAGCATACACCTTTAGTCCCAGCTACTTGAGAGGCTGAGATGGGAGGATCCCTTGATCCCAGGAGTTTGAGACAGCAGTGAGCTATGATTGCGCCACTGCACTCCAGCTTGGCAACCAAATGAGACCTTATCACTGAAATTTAAAAAAAAAAATTCATTTTATGTTTTACATTTAATTTGTTAAGTAAGCCATATGTATTTTTAAGTTTTCGTGATGATATGAGACAGGTCCTAATAATTTTAAAAATATTTTTCCCCAGGGGGTTAGCCTGCCGACCTAGACCTCCTATGAGATGATCTTTTATTTTCCCAGTGAATTGAAATGCTCGCTTTATAAAATATTAAAAACTTTAAAATTATTCTTGGATTTATTTCTGTTATACTGATCTGTCTATGCTATTGTTGGGGCCACACATTTTTAATTACTGTTGTTTTAAATTTATCTTAATATCTGGTGGAGGAAATGCCTGTTCTCTCTCTCTCTTCTTCCTTCCTTCCTCCCTCCCTCCCTCCCTCCTTTCTTTCTTTCTTTCTTTCTTTCTTTCTTTCTTTCTTTCTTTCTTTCTTTCTTTCTTTCTTTCTTTCTTTCTTTGTTTTCTTTCTTTCTTTCTTTCTTTCTTTCTTTCTTTGTTTTCTTTCTTTCTTTCTTTCTTTCTCTTTCTTTCTCTTTCTTTCTTTCTTTCTTTTTCTTTCTTTCTTTCTCCTTCCTTCCTTCCTTCCTTCCTTCCTTTCTTTCTTTCTGTCTGTCTGTCTGTCTGTCTCTCTCTCTCTCTTTCTTCTTTTCCCCCTCAGTGGTATTCTCACCCATTTTTTCTTTCATATGGATACTTGAATCACTTTTTTAAAGATCCATAAAAGCCTCCCATTGGCTCCTTAACTTGGTGGGGTGGGATATCTTTACCATATTGAATTGTAACAGTTGAGTTTTTTGCTCACAAGAAGTGGAAACTAACTTCAGATAACTGGAACATAAAGAGAACCTACTGGAAAGGTAGGAGGTAGCGAACTGAATCAAAGAACAATGTGAAGAACCAGGTCTCAGAAAGAGGCAGGAATTTGGGAAGCTCCATGGACACAGGTGGCATGATGTAGGGGCTATCTACAGAACCTGTCAACCAGAAGAATCATCTCCAAACATTTTCAGCCCTTTGACCCTCAGTCAAGCTTCAAGTCCCCAGGCAGAGCCCAGCTGGCCTAAGTTGGGCCAAATGCTCACCTCTTGGCCAGGGATGGGAAGGGATCCTTGGCAGGCCTACCCCACTGAGACTGTAAAGAGAAACTAAGCATGTGTTACCAGGTGCTGGATGGGCAAAACCAACAACGTGAGTCCTTCCAGCCAGGAGGATGTGTGCCTCCATTTGTTCCAATCTTTTGTATCTTTCTTGGATGGTTTCTTTCACAGAGGTCTTGCAGATGTCTTACTAAGTTTACTTGGAGGAGTTACCCAGTTCTTGTTGACACTCTCGATAGGATCTTTTAAAAACTGACATTTCCAATTGGCTGTTGCTAGGATTGAGACAATATCAGTAAATATTTTAATTCATTTGCCAGATGAGAAGCCTGTTATAGAAAGTTGCATGTAATTTGAAAACCTTATAATCACAAACTTAGGAAGAAGTCGGAAGCACATCATTTTGGTGTTTCCACCCAGGCCAGCAGCACACGGGGTCCATGGTAAAGGAGAAACACAGAGCAAGAAGGAAGCTACGGGGAGCCACTCAAAGAAAGAAAAACATGATAGCAATCCAAATTGAATTTCCTACTTTTCAAGGAGGCATGGATAAAAATAAAACACAAATGAATATTACATAAAAGCAGGCAAAACCATGACCTGGAAAGATTCAGAATGAAATCAGCAAATATGATGTTATAGCTGATAGAACCATAAAACAATTGGAAAAAAAAGTAAGGATTTGGCCATCAGAAAAAGTATGAACAGCAAACTGACCGTTTAGGGCTTTCTTATGAAAGAAAAAAGCTAATATTCCTACTATAGTGTTGGAAATGTGAAGTAATAAATTATATCACATTAGTAAAAGATTTTTATTTTTGAGATTTTAAACTGTAAGTTGTTTGGAAGCTTACATCCTACTATATTTCAATACTTTCTTTTTTTTTTTCTTTGAGACAGTCTCACTTAGTCACCCAGGCTGGAGTGCAGTGGTGCATTCTTGGCTCACTGCAAGCTCTGCCTCCCAGGTTCACGCCATTCTCTTGCCTCAGCCTCCCGAGTAGCTGGGACTACAGGCGCCCGCCACCACGCCCGGCTAATTTTTTTTGTATTTTTAGTAGAGATGGGGTTTCACCATGTTGGCCAGGATGGTCTCAATCCCCTGACCTTGTGATCCACCCGCCTCGGCCTCCCAGAGTGCTGGGATTACAGGTGTGAGCCACCGCGCCAGGCCAATTTCAACACTTTCAAAGTATCTATAACGTACTTTTGCTTTTCTGTTAAATTTTATTCATTTAAATTAATGTGCTAAATTTTTATGGAAGCTAGCTAAATTTTTCTTTCTAAATTACTTTAATGTTTTCTAAAGCCACATATTGAAAATATCAACATCTTATCTGTTAGTTATAAATTCTTCTCAGAATTAAAAGTAACTCATTTGGGTGTTACTTTGTTTTATTTCTCAGATCTGGCAGTGCTGAAAAGCATGAGAAACATCAGAGAGTGAGCCATTGGGAGAGAAAGACTACATTTATTTGAAATTAATAATTTATTAGGGACCGTATGGGAGTTTCCTTGCTTAGTAAGCCTTTACTCACAGAGTAAATTGTTTAAATGTGACAGGGGATTTATACGATTGTTCTAAGAATAAACCATTTTATGACACCTTAGAATAGGTTAGAAGATCTGCACATATACATAGAATTGATATGCAAAAATACTTTTTAATCTAACCTTTGAGGCAGGTCATCTGTAATGTCTCATTAATAAAATTTGACTTATAGTAGATACTTCAAAGAAACAAATGGTACTTTTTACATGTTTGATAACTTACGCTTTTCATTAATTGAATGTAGCTTTTTGTAGAATTGGTGTGAAATATTATGGTCCCACTGGATATGACTGATCTTAAAAGTACTTTAGAAAACTAGGACTTAGAAGCAGGCTGCCTTCTGTTCTTGTACGTTGGCTCATTTCTTGACTAAACAACTGCTGAATAATAGGCACTTAGTAGGCATTCAATAGTTTCTTGGTAAATGAATGAGCCAAGATAAATCATGCAGTTAGGAAGAGGCGGGGACTCGTCACTGATGGGACTGTGCTGACAGTGAAGCCCAGAGCTCATGGAAGAATGCAGGGGTCATTTGTGGTCCCAGGATGAAGAGTTCTGCCTACCCAGCACCAACGAGTGGCAGACCCCCTCTCCCAGTGTGAAAGCTTCAGGAAGAGCTTAGTTTACGTGGAGCATTTTTCCCTACAGTGACTTATCCAGAGTACTGCCTCAGCATCAAGCTCCTGGGGTCTTTAGTACCCTCTGCCTTTTTGCTTTCATGCCCCTGGCCCTGGTTCTCTGGCCAGGCTCTGGGCACGCAGCTTCCTGTGTGACAGACGTGTTCCATGTTGAAGTTAAGCCATTTGATGAGGGGCTCACTATACATTTGGGCAGGAAGGAAGAACGTGCTCATAAAACTGGTGCTGCCCGGGAAGAGGGAACTTTCCCCAAATCTTGTGGCCACGGTCTAGAGCAGGAGCCTGACATTTGACGGCTGGGATATCAGCCCCAGCCTGGCTCTCCAGCCCTGGGCAAAGCATCCACTTCTCTGAGCTTCCAGTTTCCTCATCTGTCAGATGAGGGTCACATAAGCAGTTAATCTGTGGGCTGTTTTGAAGATTGAGAGGTAATACATGCAAAAGTCACAGAATTTTGTCTTGCATAGAGTAAATGATCAATAAATGTGAGCAAAAAAATCAGGAGAAGGAGGTTAGATGAGCATGAGAGACTACAGAGTTTACAGAAAGCTCTCTTAGACCCAAGATCCTGGCCCCATCTGGCTTCTCCCACACATCTGTTCCACACATTTCCCCAAAGTTCCATCCCTGTCCTGACAACACAGACCAGGAAATTCAGATTCACAGAAAACCAATAATTTAATCTAAGTCCTCTTGCTGGACAGTAAGCCAGTAAAATCCTAAATGGACTCAAAATTACCGCTCCCCTCTATTTCATTAAATTCCTAAGCCACAGTCCATTTTCTCTTTACGAGATATCCTATTTACCGGTATTACTTACCTATAGTCTTTAAAATCCAAATCCGGTTTCTGATTTTACAGTATTTTTATCTGTTCTGAAAGAATAAAGAATGGACATTTCCACTTCCCATTCACAAAGTTTGTAATTGATATTTCTAGCCATTTTGACAGCATAGGTAGAAAAATTCACCAATAAGTGAAAAGAATTTATTTTTATAATGGCTTTAACATATTTCAATCAAACACAACTACTAATTCAATTAAACACAAATGACTTTTTAGGAATTGGTCTGTTACTATTTGTCTTATGAGAAGATAATTGGAAAGTGTTGACAGAATGAATTTAATGCTAAATAGTTGGAGATGCACCAACATCCATTTAAATTTATGGGTCAAATTTTTATTTGCAGAAGTGAAATGTACAGTAGTCAAAATATTAGATTAATTTTTGACTCGGAATTATGGTAAATGCTCAATATAAAAGTTTAGGTGTTTATTTTCTTTAATCACTAAAATAAAATCCTGATGTAATATTTAACCTCGATCATTAACATGTCAACTAGCTACTTAGAAATTAACTGTGGCTTTAAGGGAAAGTAGGAAAGTTGGTACTGCTGAAAGAATTTAAGGAATTGCTCTTATTTAGCTTATTTCTAGAATGGAAATATTAAGAATTTAATAGGTGGGACAATTGGTTTGGTTAGTAATAACAAATAATAATAACATCAGCTAACACTATATGCTTATTATATATACATCAGCGACTACTCTATGCATATATATTAACTCATTTAATCCTCACAACAATCACCGAAGGTAGTAATTAATATTATCCTCACTTCATTCTGTGCTTGAAGACTGTATTTACCCACATTTCTTCCATTAAAACAAATACCCACGGGCCCGAAGAGTGCCCCCCACCCCCTTCCCTGGAGAAGAAGGGAGCCCGGGCATTCCTGACGGGCACTGGAGGAACACCTGTCACTGTCAGCCTGCAGGCCCTCCTCATCCAGGGAAAAGGATGCGGACCAGAAGGGGCCTGCACACAGGTGATGGAGCCACCCACACCAGGACCGACTGAGAGGCAGCTTCCTGTAAGCCTATCAGGGTCGGAATCCCTATCATTAGTCAGGAAATTATCTACAACATACTATCTTTAGAGCCCACTCATTCGCACATGCCTGCATTCATTCGTTCATGCATGCGTTCATTCACCCAGCAGGAGTGGAAGCCGGCTCTTTACTACAAGCTGAAAATAGACAAATAAGATAGAGTACTAGTCCTCAAAGCACTTTCAGCTTAAAAGCATATCATCCATTGCTAGGATCTATCACCATAGAATTATCATTCCCAGCTTACTAGTTTATCAGATTTGATAGCGTTCCTTGGCTTGGGGCAGAGGCCATCCCTCCTAGGTAGTTCAGGCCTTTATCACCCCAGGCCTACATACTTGCGAAAGACTCGTTTCTTAACCTGTTTTTCTGTGCACAGTTGCCAGATTGGTTTTGGCAGAGGCAGCTTCTCCCTTATCAATTTCAGGTGTTTAAAAGTTGGCAGCAACTCCTCCGTCCTAAGCCTAGAGGTAATCTGCAGTTTGTCCCCAACTCAGTTTCACCCCCTATTTTCCAACCAGCGGAAGCTCTGCCCTCACCGTGTATATACCCTGCAAATTGCCCTCTGCCCTTGCACCCACAGCTCCCCTCACCTCAGCTGCCCCACCAATCTCTGTCTAGGCCCAGCCCAGATCTTGTTTCTGGGCGGCTCTTCTCAACCACACCTGTGACCGCTCTGTCGCCCTTGAACGACTTCGGCTGGCACCTACTGTTTGCATGGGCTGAGTGCACACAGTGTCCCCTGCTGCTGGCTTGTTTTGTGCTCACACTTTTGTCTCCAGCAGCACAGTGTGACTAGCCCAGAGCAGTGTGTAGAGCAGTGCGCAGTGGATGCGGAGTGACTCTGAGGGACGATGGAGCTCGGGAGGCTGGTGGGGTCTCCTCTGGATAAGCAGGAGATGCAGAAAGTGTACTGTGAGATGGAAATCAGCCTTGCCCAGTGCAGAAACAAGCATTTCCTTTCACCAAAATCCAGGGAAGGAGAGCTTCCAGAGGTCCGGCCTTACTTAATTACAACTCTGAATGATTCGACGTGAGAAGTTACATTCCCCGATGATCTAACAGTAGGAGTTGAGTTCTCAGCTATTTGAGTTTGCATCTTGCACTGTCTGGATTCTGGGTATAAATTGGGGCAAGTTTCCTTCTCTTGACTCTCAACTCCCTCAAGTATAAAATGGGCTAAAGGCACACTGGCAGAGGCTGGGGAAATTAATTCAGATTGCTGCATTCAACAAGAAAAACACTTTGGAAATTGCAAAATATTTACATCAACAAAAAAGCACAAAAATGGTGTGTTAGTATTACAAATGAAGTCACAACCTGGCTTTCTCAGTGCTATCTTTTGTTTTTAAAGTAACGTCAGGCTTCTTATTTATCCGTGTTAGCAGTGCCCTTTATCTAAAAAATATGTAAATCCATTTGAATTAATTTCCTGTAATACCACATGAAACAATAATCATATTAGTACCATTCATAATGTACTAATAACATTAACATAATTGCATTCAAATATAAAATTGCTAGGTAATAGGCTTTTCATAAACTGTTTCAATGAAAATGTGATTTTTAACCTGACTGTGGGTCTTTGGTTCCAGATATTGTCAGAAAAAAATTCTGCCTAATGTGAGAGTTTCCCACAGTTTTTGCCTGCAGAGGAGGAATTATAAAGAGCTTTTGTGATTGAGAAGAGGAGGGTGTTCAATAGTCACATATTTCTGCACAGACTTGACCTTTCACTGTAGCTTTCTCCACAGCAGGGTCTGGTCCTTGGCGCACAGCGTGTTCTGTACGTGCTGACTCAGGGGACAGAAACACAGAGGCTGCGGCCGCCACGTGATCCTTAGACTTCTGTACCAAGTCTGTGAGGGAAGCTCTTGTGAGCAAGCTAATGTTTCTTTCCTGAGTAGCAGGTCAGTTAGCCTGTTCAAGTCTAGTTGGCTCACAGACAGTTGCAGAATTCTTTCTGGGCTCTCGGGATGGGAAGGGAAGGGTTCTCAGCCCCTTGGCATGACGACGCAAGTAACGGGTTTGAAAGGCCTCCTGGGGTCTGTAAGATACCTGGCCCCAGTTATCAAGTTAAAACTCAGGGCCTTGGATCTAGTATGTAAATTTATTTATTTTTCACAATTGCAGACAAATTTATATATTACTATTATTTTTGAGGGAGAGTCTTGTTCGGTTGCCCAGGCTGTAGTGCAGTGGTGTGATCATAGCTCACTGCAGCCTCAGCCTCCTGGTCTCAGGAGATCTCCCGCCTCAGCCTCCTGAGTAGCTGGGACTACCTGGGCATGCGCCACCACACTGGGCTAATTTTTTAAATTTTTAGTTGACATGGGGGGGGGGGTCTCACTATGTTGCCCAGGCTAGTCTTGAACTTCTGCGCTCAAGTGATCCTCCCGCCTCAGCCTCCCAAAGTGCTAGGATTACAGGTGTGAGCCACTGCACCTGGCCTAAATTTGTATTTTGTGCAAGCCAGTGATCCATTTGTTTCCTGATAAAAATGTGATGAAGTCAGAGACTGTTATAGAACCATGAGCTATGGGGCAAGTCTGTAGTGAAATTAAGTAAAGGGGAGGGAATAATTGGAATGCCGATGGCCATGTCTGAGCATCGAGATCAACCACAAATCATTCTCACAAGCACATGTCAATTTGTGATATATTATTAGATCTGAAAAAAAAAAAGAGATCATGTTGTAACTGAGTAGATCAGAGTGATTCGCTTTGATCAGATATTCCAATCTTGCCGGATCATTATAAAGCCAACCTGAATTTACACAAAGATTTTCTTCCTACTGTGCTCAAAACACAGATATATATTCCCCCGCCTGTGATCCTCCCAGTGACCCGATGAGGTAGGCAGAGAACAACATAATCTCTGCCTCTTAAATAAGCTAATTGCGCTTGAAAGTACTTTTAGCACTTTAGAACATAAATAATATTCCAGGGCAGAGTTAGCTCCCCTTTCTTTCTCTGAAATTCAGAATGGTACAGTAGAGCTGCCAGGACTACTGAGTAACACGACAGTGTGAAAAACGAAAGACAAACAGCTCAAAGTCTTGGGCCAGGGCCGTTTTTCCAGCATTTTCTGCTTTGCCCTCTACTTTCATATAGTTTAGAATTTATTTTAGAATGCACAGAATACATTTCTATATATTTGTGGTCACCTTTTCCCCACATCTTGGAAATAGCAGCAATAGACAATATTGAACACAGAAACTACTGATAAATGCAAAAAAGGTTAATTAATTAATATAGTTGTCCCACCGTATTCCTGGGGGATTGGTTCCAGGACCCCGGGTGATCCTAAAATCCACAGATGCTCAAGTCCCTGATACTAAATGGTGCAGTATTTGCGTATAACCCCTGCACAACCTTTGGTATCCTTTAAATCATCTCTATATTACTTATCATATCTAACACAATGTAAGGCTATGTAAATAGTTGTTATACTTTATTGTTTAGGGAACAATGACAAGAAAAAATTTCTGTATATGTTCAGTACAGGCATATTTTCCCCCCAAGTATTTCAGATCTGCATTTTGCCAAATCCACAGATGTGGAGCCCCCGGCCAGCAGGGCTGACCAGCAGGGCCGAGTGTCCTGCGAGTGCCTGGCTCAGCACAGCATAAGCACTGAGTCAAGGAGCTCATGGGTTTGAGGGCTCATTCATTCAGAAGCTGAGAACTTTCTTTGGACCAAATTGCTGCTGGTGATAATGGGAGGCCAGCAAAGAGGGTATGAGGGAGAGTGAAAATCTCAGGACAGTGAAAATCCAGCACCTCAGGGGGTGGGGGGCAAGGGGAGGGAGAGCATTAGGATAAATACCTAATGCATGCGGGGTTTAAAACCTAGATGACGGGTTGATAGGTGCAGCAAACCACCATGGCACATGTCTACCTATGTAACAAACCTGCACTGTCTGCACATGTATCCCAGAACTTAAAGTAAAATTAAAAAAATAGAAAGAAAAGAAAATCCAGTGCCTGCCTGGCATGATGACAGGCAGCTAAGCTGAGGGCAGAAGAGGCGGAGATCAGCTCCGGGCTCAGGAACATGGGGAGCCGGGAAGACAGAGGGAGGAGGGAAGGAGCTCTCCCGATGGGACTAGCACTCCTGGAAAACAACATTTTTTTTGCATTGATGTCGTGGCTGTTTTTGGAAGGATTCGAACTCTGCTTGGAATGGCAAGGTCTCCACCAGTACTGATGCTTTAAGGTTTTGCTAACGATGACAATGCATTATTTAGATAGGTGATTTTCCATATTAAAAAAAAAAGGTTCCTAGATTCGAATAGCATCTACCTTACAGACATGGTCCTGAGACCCTGGGAGAGGTGCAGCTGGCCAACACGCTGTGTCCCCACAGGGAACGAGCATGGAAGGGTTAAGCAGCAGCGTTCCCTGCCCAGAAGAAGCAGTGTTCTGTAGCAAGTATTTTAAATTCAGCTGCTAGAGCAGGAGAGGAAGTTGGAGACAGGAAACCATCTCAGAACAGTGAGCGTTTAAATAACGAGGGCAGCGGATTGTCTTCTGTTTCTCAGCCATCCCAGCAGTATTCTTTCCCTGTCTCTACCCAGGGAAGACCACAGGATCCCACTCCCAGCCTCAGAAGACATTTGCATAACACATTTACATTTGAAGGGAGCCCACGGATTGGCAACTCCCGAAGCTTCAGCTAGGCACGGTTTTCTACAATAGCAATTAGGAACAGAAATAGAATAACAATAGGTGTAGAAATACAGTTGCTGAGCTGTGGGTAGATGAAGCAGAAAAATCTCTGCGTTTTAAAGCCCGAACTTTGAATAATTGCAGAGTGGGAGACTAACTGGCCTTTGTTCTTTGTGTATGGGCTCTGAGGTCTAGAAGAGACCAAACCAATTTGGACCAACGTGGGAGCTGAAGAGAGCTCCCCTCGCAGGAAATGAAGCGGCCGGGTTGGCGTCAGACCAGGAGAGACCAAGGCAGAGCCCATGCCAGCGATCGCTGAAGGGGCTGCTGAGGTGCTGGCTGGTGGCCCAGACGGCAGTGAGCAGAGCTCCATGGAAGTGCTTGGGGACTGGACGATGCTGCAGGGAAAACATCGGGAAGGGAAGGGGGATGAGAGTTGGAGTGAGATCTGGAGGCACCAAGGATAAGCCAGGGGCTGGGGCTTGGAGGGGCGGGATGGCCCTCGTGTGTCCTGGGGCACCCTCATCAGGACATCAGGAACACACAGGCACACACCCTCTTCCAACTCTGAAACCAGCACATCATCAGAGGACCGGACCTTAGCCTGAAGCAGCTCCTCAGAGAATCCTGTTCTCCTTCCTCCATCAGCTCCACTGCCCGCCCCTCATCCCTCAGCCTCTGGGGGTGGAGCGGGGCGGATGGGAGGTCTCCTATAGTCCTAGCGATCAACCCTGAGACCCAGCCTGGAGAAGGCAAGGAAAGGGGCCACAGATGGGGCAACATGGGAAAGACCTGGGTGAGGGAACAGCTGGGAAGGCGTACTGTAGAGAGATGAAGGCTAAGACCTTATAGTCAGAGTGAAGGATGTCAGAGCTTAATATTTTGGGGTGAGGTCCTCCTGAGGTCCAAAGTGAGGCTGAGGCTGTGGGTCTGGATGGCTGAAGTGATGCCCAAATGACCAGTGGAGCCGAAGAGGTCAAGGAAGAATTCGGAGCTGTCTTCCGTATGGACACCAGGTCACCTCGGATGACAGAGATGGAGGCTTCTGGGCCAGATGCTAGAATCAGTATGGTTCAGTGGCTGAAGAGGTCAGCAGGTGACACAAGTGAGAGGGACACAGGACGATACCACTAACTGGCCTGAATGTTAAAGGAGCAATGGGGTTCTACACGGTGAATGGGGATAATTGTTAGGAAGTGGCATTGGGGAGCATGGGGATTCCAGAAGAACCCTTTCCAATCTCTCCCCATAGCAGTTATTAGCCAGTCTTAGCATAGAACATCATGTCTTCTCATGCTTTTGCTGAATGTTGTTAGTTGCTGGGTGTTGAGTCAGTGTGGCACGTTGAAAGGAGCACGGGGTTGGGATCAGGACTCCTGAGTTCAAGTTCTGTCTGTGCCTGTCTTGGTTGCTTAATGACCTTATGTAAATTCCTATTCTTGTCAGGTATCAGATTCCTCATTTGTAAAAATGGGTCTAATAATGCTGCCCCATGACCATTGATGTGGAGACGATTTATGAACTGCAAAATCTGACACAATCTACAACTTTGTGTTGTTAGTTCCTCGGGGACAAGAACTATTTGGAACCACACCAAAGCATTAGTGATTATTAGAGGCATTTCATAAACACATTTTTATCATAATGATGTTGATACCGAAAGCTAGTGCTTTTGCCAGAAGTGTTAATAAAAATTGTTGGTAGCCAGTTCTCCAAGACCCTCTCCCAAGGTGTCATAGTTCTTACGAACATTATAATATGAGACTATTGATTTTTTTTTTTTTTTTGAGATGGATTCTCGCTGTCACCCAGGCTGGAGTGCAGTGGCGCCATCTCGGCTCACTGCAAGCTCCGCCTCCCAGGTTCACGCCATTCTCCTGCCTCAGCCTCCCGAGTAGCTGGGACTACAAGCGCCTGCCACCATTGCCGGCTAATTTTTTGTATTTTTAGTAGAGACAGGGTTTCACCGTGTTAGCCAGGATGGTTTCGATCTCCTGACCTCGTGATCTGCTCGTCTCGGCCTCCCAAAGTGCTGGGATTATAGGCGTGAGCCACTGCGCCCGGCGAGAATATTGATTTTAATGAGGATGTCACCCAAATCAAGCAGATCCCTAATCATAAAAATAAGCAAAGAAATGCAAAAATTAACACCCTGAAATCTTGCTTTAAGCCCATCTAAAGGAGTCTGCTGGAAGGTATATTCCACAATGCAAGAAATCCAACATGACAGCATACACTAAAAAGGTATACAATGTTAATGGGTTAAATTAAAATAAATGACATGTCTAAAAGACAACTGATAACACTTAATAAGGTTCCAAAAATATTAAAATATTAGGAATAGATTCTACTTTTTCTACCATGATAAAAAGTTGTGGAAAATAAGAGCCCATATTGTGCTTAATGGATAGATGAAGTAAATTCTGTTTAAAAATGGAAACAAGAATGATTCCTTAATAGTGTTCTGAAAACTCTAGTTAATGCAATGAGACATAAAAAAATAAAGAGGTATAATAATGGGAAGAGAGAAAAGATAATTATTTGTGCTTAATATAATGGAAAACCAGAATGTGCAGAGGAATCAGCGGAAATAATAATATTTAATAAAATGATTCAATAAAGTACTAGATCTAAAATAAGCATACCAAAATTAATAGCCTTGTTAATTATTAGTTGGCACCAGTTGTTGTAATAAAAATATAAATCCTGTCCACAATATCAACCCCTTTTCCACAAGAGACCCTTGGCAATAAATCTATTGAGGCATGTGTCCTAGCTATAAAGAAGTTAAAAAATATTTAAAAGATAATAAAAGACTTGAATAAGTTGACATCAATCAATCTATCTGTTCATACACTTACATATATACAGTATTCCTGAAGGAGAAGGAAAATATTGTCTCAAGCAAATTAATAGATTTATATAATCCAACTAAGAAAAGGAAGAAGAGGATTAACTCTATGAGATATTTGAAAACATAGAGAAACAGCAATGAACGTAGTTTGATAGTTGTAAAAAAATAACAATTTAAATGAGTGGAACTGACTAAGGGATCAGAATCCACCTTCTGAATAACGGCTCCTTCTGTGTCTTACGTAATTAGTCTCATGGAACTATTTCTTATACCACCACTGACTTGTTCAACCAACTGCGCCTCTCACCTGGATAACTGGTATAGTCTTTCCTAACTGGGCTCTCTGCTGCTGCCTGAACCCCCTTACCCCTATCCATACAGCCCCCAGAATGCCCCCTTTAACACAGATCATTGCCCTGTTGTGTTCAAAGACCTTCTCAACTCAACATGTACGGGGTTGAGTTGTGTCTCCCCAAAAGATGCGCCCCACTGCTAACCTGCATACCTGTGAGTGTGCCCTTATTTAGAAATAGGGTTTTTGCAGATGTTATTAAGGATCTCGGTATAAGAACATCCTAGATTTAGTTAGAATGGGCTCTAAATCCAATGACTTGTGTCCTTATAAGAGACAGATAGGCAGAGACGCCGAGACACAGACAAGAAAAGACCACGTGAAGATGGCGGCAGAGATTGGAGTGATGTGTCTACGAGCCAAGGAACACCAAAGGTCGCTTGCAACTGCCAGGATCCAGGGTTCCCCCTGCCTTTAGTCTCCCTCAGAGCCTCTCGAAGGAAACGACATGGCCAACACCTTGATTTCGGACTTTTGGCCTCTGCAACTGTGAGAGGATAAGTGTCTGTTTCTTTAAGCCACCAAGTTGCGGTCATTAGTTACAGCATCCCCAGGACATGGACCTCCCGTCTCACTCAGGGTCACCGTCAGTGTCCTCACAGTGAAGTCTCTACATGAACTGCCGGCCACCTTCCCTGTCACCTCCTACCACTCTTGCCTTCACTCGGGCACTGGCCTCCTTCAAGGCACCGACGTGTCCCTTCTTGGGGCCTTTGCATGTGCTTTCTGTGGGCTGGAACGTTTTCCTCACGGATCCATCATCCCTGGGGGTCTTTGTCAATGTCCCCTTCTTGGTAAGGCCTTCCCTAACCACCTGGCTTTAGGTTGCACCTCACCACCTGGCTGGAATTTTCTATTCCCCTTCTTTGTTTTATTTTTCTTCATGAAATTGATCACCATGTGATAGATGATAGTTTATTTCCTTGTTTATCTTGTCTCCTCCAACGAGAATCCTCTGTAAGTACAGATGTGACAGCCAAGCTGTTCACTGTTGCATCTTCAGCACCCAGAATAGTGCCCCGCACGTGGTGGGACTCAGCATGTGTTTGTTAAACTAATGCAAATAGACTGAATTTTGAGTCAGAATGGAATATACAGTAAAACAGGCAGTACAAAGCAGTGGGGGAGGATTAATAGCTGATTTTGAGATATAGCACATTAGAGAAAAATTAATTTCAGATACACATCCTATCCTGTGAACTAAAAGAAAATTAAAGTCAAATATGTTTAAAAATTCATAGAAAAATTAGCAGAACGTAGAATAGTACATGAGCCTCTGGAAGGATAATAACTTTCAAAGAGTGAAAGCAGTTGGGGAAGTTATAAAGCTAATAGTGATACATTCTGCTGTTTAAAAATTTTGTACCATTTGTGCCCCCTTGCTTCCAGTAAGAATCAGGGGCTGGACATGGTGGCTCACACCTGTAAACCCAGCACTTTGGGAGGCCGAGGCAGGTGGATCACTTGAGGCCAGGAGTTTGAGACCAACCTGGACAACATGGTAAAACCCCATCTCTACTAAAAATACAAAAATTAGCTGGGTGTGGTGGCTCAGGCCTGTAGTCCCACTACTTGGGAGGCTAAGGCACGAGAGTTGCTTGAACCCGGGAGGCAGAGGTTACAGTGAGCTGAGATCATGCCATTGCACTCCAGCCTGGGTGACAGAGCAAGGCTCTGTCTCAAACTCTGTTTCAAAAAAAAAGAACAAGAAGAAGAAAAAGAATCAGGACCTGTTGTTGTTCCCAGGTGATTGGGTGGGTCGCCCCCAAGGCCCAGGTCTCTTTCTCCCTGGCTGCCCACCTGCTGACTGTGCCTGACAACCTGCCATCCTGCTTGACCCTCAGACAGAGCCTGTATTCTTGCCCCATGCACAGACCTCCTCTTGGCCTGCAGGATGGTGTCCAGTTGCCTCTATGCAAACACCTGAGTGGCTGCTGCCCGTCAGTCACCTCCTGGACATTGAAGGTACCTGGATTCAGGTCACCTGCCTGCCTGCCTGGAAATCCTTGCAGTACCCTTTGACACCAAGCCTGGCCAGGTTGGTCTCTCAGGCTGGTCCTGGGCTTGGGGACCTAAATTGCAGTTTCTTCTTCCTCTTTATTCGGGCTCTCCTTTCCTGAGCCTCCCAGGTGACACCAACAATTCTATGTAGACAGCACAGAACTCTGCAGCCGGGCAAAATCCAGTTTTAGGGAGAGGTGCTATTCTAGCTGGATGTTGCCATGGACATTGGGTCTTTCTTGTTCTTTGGTTGATGATGGGTCTAAGTCCAGGTTAACTTGCTAACCTCTCAGGGCAACACGTTGTTTCTCATGTGCTGCGTGAGCCTCGGTTTCACGTGTAAGGGAGAACCTGACGTAGAAAGCCCGTGGCTTGTGTAATTAAATAGTTGATTAGAAAAAGAAGGTGTTAAGATACTGAGGAGGCACCAGGAAAAGAGTGAGGCTGAAGATCATCTCTTCTGTTACAGCCCACGCTTTAAAAACATCAGCACAGTGCAGGCCAAGCCCAGTGGTGCAGCTGTAACTGTTTTCCTTCCTTCAAATCCTGCTGGCCTATGGGGTGGACGAGAGAAGGGAGTGAGGAGGGGGCACCTTCTGGGCAGAGTGGCAATGGTTCTGCCCTGCTGCACGGGCAGGGGTCCAGGACAGCCTCATGGCTGTTATCTTCCCTTGATCAATTATGGGTAACACATGGCTTACTTGGAACCCTTGTTTACCTCACCTCGTCCTGGACAGTGACCTTAAAGGGGAGAGCAAACTACATTTCTGAGGCCATCTGAGCCCACTCGCGAGCTGAAGAACCCAGACTATGTGCTGACGGGAGGGCTCAGGTCCTGGTTCACAATTGCTTTGTCTATTACTTGTAGCAAAACATATAACAATGGATCTGTTTGTTGGGATTGTTTTCGGGTGGAATTTAAAGTCCTACTTCAATGGGGCCTCATGTTTTTTATTGTTGTGCCTCTTCCCTAAAGTGAGAAACAATTTCAGAGTCTCCCCTCCCATCCTCCTCCCCCTTCATCAGCGCATTTCTCTTTCAGGCGCATATTTTTGGTCATTCATGGGGCTTCAGACTCTTGCGATCCACAGAAAATTTCTTCCAGAGCAGCTGCCTTAAAAAATCAGATGTCAGTTTTAAGATCAGACATATTACATGATGAATGAGATTTTTTTTAAAGTGCTGTTGCATTTTAAGTTGGCTCAGGGCTATGTTGAAATTGCTGCTGTCCCGATGCCCAAGATGCAGAGGCAGGGCTGGCCCTGGTGGTAGCAGGAGAAGTGGCTGGCCCTCCGCTTCTGCCCTGTGCTCTACACCCGTCCCTTTCTCCTGGATCCTCCCTTGTCCCCAAGGCTTCCAGTGAGCTTGGGGTGCCACTGCAGCCGTCCACCCTGGCTCCCCGTCAGGGGTCTCCAGGAACACTAAGCCCCTCCCTCTCAGAGCTGGGAGCCCTGCTCCAGTGGCACTCAGTGACTGCAGGGCCGGGAGCACGTCCTTTGGAGGAGCAGGCCAACTCGGAAATGTGTGCCCCAAGAATGATTATCCAAGAGTGGAATTTCAGGCTCAAGGAGGCACCTGGTGAGGGAAGATAGTTTTGTGTGGCTTAATCTCTTCTAATATTACTCTGGTCCTGATAACGTGCATTCTATTTATAAAACTGACAGTGCAGTTTTTGGGCCAGGTGATGGGGAACATTCTTTCTAGGGTAGATTTGACCACCACCTGGCTGAGTAAGCTTATACAACATGGCTAAATTCTTTGGGCCTCAGTCTCCTCTCCTGTAAAATAAGAAGGTTTAGATAGACAATCTCCAATTTCCCTCCTACCCCTAAAATAAATTTTAGATAGACAGACATTTAGACATGTGTCCTGAAACTTTAAAAAGTTTAATTTGTTCTGAAACTTTAAAATGCCTTTGGATTCCAACCAATTCGATTTTATTAATAGAATTATATTTCTTAGAAATATCACAAGAGCTCATCTATTTTTTTACATTTTCTGATTTCTTTCTTTCTTTCCTTTTTTTTTTTTTTTTTTGAGACAGTCTCACTCTCTCACCCACGCTGGAGTGCAGTGGTGCGATCTCCCCTCACTGCAACCTCTGCCTCCTGGGTTCAAATGATTCTCCTGCCTCAGCCTCCCGAGTAGCTGGGATTATAGGAACACGCCACCATGCCTGGCTAATTTTTGTATTTTACTTAGTAGAGACAGGGTTTCGCCACGTTGGCCAGGCTGGTCTCGACCTCCTGGCCTCAAGTGATCTGCCTGCCTCAGCCTCCCAAAGTGCTGGGATTACAGGTACGAGCCACCATGCCTGGCCAGATTTTCTGATTTCTTTAGCATCTTATTTCTTTGTAGTTCTTGACATCTGAATAGGTCAAAGCAGCAATGGAGAAGAAACACACACACATACTCAGTCACTGGACATGATTCTTAGTCAGAATTTGCTTACTTTTAGTTTCAAAGCTCACTCACCATCTCCTTGGTGACCCAGCCTGAAGTTGTAAGCGACTGCACAAGAGTATAACGTAGTCACTACATGTAATATACTTTGTCTTTTGTTCTGTTAGGAATCAGACCCTTTTCCAATTAAATCTGCTTCTTGCCAACAGGTTAAAAGCGTCTTTGTGAATGTGTGAGGAAAACACTGGTGAGGTGTCCGTTAGGAGATAAACCAGTTGACAAATTGAAAGCTGGAGCATCTAGTTCACAATCCCTAAGCCAAA